>NC_000003.12:67282727-67585757 GCF_000001405.40 Homo sapiens
GTCTGTGGCCAAAGGGCGGAGAGACCCTGGCAAACCACTGGTGTAAGTCCCAGAGTCCAAAGGCTGAAGAACTTGGTGTCTGATGTTAAAGGGCAAGAAGCATCCAGCATGGGAGAAAGATGGAGGCCAAAAGACTTACCCAATCTAGTCTTGCCATGTTCTTCTGCCTGCTTTTATTCTGGCCATGCTGGCAGCTGATTAGAATGTGGCCACCCAGATGGATTGAAGGTGGGTCTGCCTTTCCCAGCCCACTGATTAAAATGTTAATCTCCTCTGGCAACACCCTTACAGACAAACCTGGAACAATAATTTGCATCCTTCCATCCACTCAAGTGACTCTCAATATTAACCATCACACTTCCTGTACAGCCTGTTGAACTACGAGCCAATTAAACCTCTTTTCTTTATAAATTACCCAGTCTCAGGTAGTTCTTTACAGCAACGTGAGAGCAGACTAATAGAAACACACCAACCAACAATATTCCAGCAGCACTACTCTGGCTGTTATGTTAAGAACTGACCACAATGGGGCAAAGTCAGAAGTAGCGAGACCAGTTAGGAGGCTTCTGAAATAATCCAGGTGAGAGACAATGATGGCTTAGACTAGGGAGTAGCAGTAGAAACCCAGATGAGAGGGGTTCAGAGGCAGTGCTGGCAGGATTGTTTTCATGAATGTGGAATGTCAGACTAAGAGAGGATTAAAGAGTTAATCCAAGATTTTTGGCGTGAGCAATTGAAAGAACAGAGTTAACACTTTCTGAGAAGGGTTGTCTTTGTCCATCAGCTGTAACAGAATACCTGAGACTGGGTAATTTGTAAAGACTATAAATTTATTTCTCATGGTTCTGGAGGCTGGGAAATTCAAGGTCAAGGGGCCCACATCTGGCGAGGGACTTGCAGCATCATCCCAGTGTGGAAGGTGGAAGGGCAAGAGCACGTGGTGGGTGGGGAGGAGAGGGAGCCAGGCTTATCCTTTTATCAGGCACCCACTCCTCACTGCAGTGATAACACACCCTTTCCTGCAATAATGGCATTAATTTATTCATGAGGGCAGGGCCATCATGACCTAACACCTCCTAAAGGTCCCACCTCTCAACACTGTTGCTTTGGGGATTAAGATTCCAACACACGAACTTTGGGCAATACCATAGCAAAGGTGTAACTGGAAAAAAATCACACTTAGAGGGGGAAGAATATCACGAGCTTGGCTTAGATCATTCTCATATGCCTGAGAATGTTGAGATATTGAGTGGGCAGTTGGGTATGTGGATCCAACATTTAAGAAGTGGTGTGAGCTCAATGTATTAAATTGGAAGTCACTGATATCTAGCTGGTACTTAAAGCCATGAGGCCAGATGATATTACCCAAGAAGTGAGTCCAAATGGAAAAGAGTACAGAACAACCAAAAAATGTGTCCCAGGGCATTCTAATACCTCTTCAAAATGGTAAATGATGACATCTGCAAAATGGAAGTAATAATATTGTATCTCATTGAGCTGTGAGGTTTGAAGAATGAATACATGGAAAAAGCACCAAGCTCGTATGTCCTAGCACACAGTGTAAATATTAAGTAAATTTAAATGAAGCCAAACTACCCAGTTGAAGGCAATAATTCCTATCAACCAGAGCAGATAATAAGGCCTAGAAGGGTTTAGGTGTTTCCTGTTTAATGTCATAGTGCCCAGGAGTTTTAGAGATGAGATTTAAACCCAGGTTTTGTAACTCTAAATCACGTATTTTGTCTTTGGTTGCCACGTGGTTTCCTGTTGATGAACAAGTCACATAGCTATCTTCAAGGAGCTTACACTTTAGTAGTGGGAGCGATAAGGCAGTGTATAAATTTTAAAAGATTTAAGTGACAGTCCAAAATGTGAAGAGTCTTAGATCTTGTGTCCTACAAGCCCTGGCTGTGGGAACCCTGGGTCTCCTATTCATGTCCAGGCTGTGAGATGTGGCCCAGTCGATCCTGCCTTCTTGTGAGGTCCTCATGGTTATTCATGGAGAGACAGTTATGAAGATTTTCCCTCTCTAATTATTAGGCCAACTGGAATACTGGGTCTGGCATTACTCACTGTACCAGCTTGGAATTCAAGAACGATTTTAGGTGACCATCATCAACTTCTCCTACTTAAACACAGTGCCTGGCCAGTCAAGTCTCCTTCATGGGAAAGCCTTACACTTTTTTAGCCTTTTTGAACAGTTTCTTTGCATGCTGGTGGGGGAATGCCTGTGGATGAAAGTTTTTTCTTTTGCTCTAGGGACAGAGTCAGGCTGGCTTTGTGTAAGCAAAGTTGGTAAAAGCAACTTGTGATTAAATGACACATTCCAAGGTCTTGAAGCTTCCTAGATCAGAACTAGAACCACATAGAAATGCCAATTTTGGGTCTGTGGCAGCATGTCATATGGCAGTTGGCTTTCACATCTTCCTCCTTTCATTCTTATAATAATGTGATAGAGCTTGTGGGGCTTGTATTCATTATCGGTATCCTCATTTTAGAGTAGAGGAAACTGGAGCTCAGAAAGATTCTACATCTTGCTTACAGCACTATAGCTAGGAAATGATGGACCAAAGGTTTGAACCCAAACTTTCAGATTCCACATTATCAGCTCTCATCATAGGAACATGCTATTGATTACTCTTTGGTGATTTGCTGTCATTGCATAGCAAGGTAGTAACCAGACCTTCTGATTCCATGATCCCAGTATATAGTCTACATACTGCAGTAACATGCAATCTCTCAGGATCAAAACAATCTTTAAGAAGTGCTTTTCAGCCAGATGTGGTGGCTTATGCCTGTAATCCCAGCACTTTGGGAGGCCGAGGTGGGCAGATCACCTGAGGTCAGGGGTTCAAGACCAGCCTGGCCAACAGGGTGAAACACCATCTCCACTAAAAATACAAAAATTAGCTGAGTGTGGTGGTGGGTGCCTATAATCCCAGCTATTCAGGAGGCTGAGGGGGGAGAATCGCTTGAACCCAGGAGGGGGAGGTTGCAGTGAGCTGAGATTGCACCATTGCACTCAAGCCTGGACGACAGAGTGAGACTCCTTCAAAAAAAAAAAAAAAAGAAGAAAGGAAAGAAGGGTTTTTATTATTTTTCTAATAACCTTCCTGGGGTGGGATTTATAATGGACTCACACGATCCTGAAATTTTCTCTACAGTAAGAAACATAATTTTGATGTTCTGTTTTAGAAATGCTGGTTTTCAGTGGCCATAGACATTCTCCAACATCCAGAAACACTTATCTACACGATCCCACAGTATCTTTCTCAAAAGGATTGATCGAGTCATGGGTTTTCCTTTTCACCAAATTGAATCAGCTGTTGATTTGGCATTATTAAATGCCACTTAAGAGCCTACACATGTAATGTCTACATCCGTAATCCACCCCAGATAAAAGTTCTCAAATGTCAGTAGTCACCCACATGCTATTCAAAACCCCAAATCCACACTGGTCCCACACTTTCATGACTGCCTTTTTCACTCCCCACATAAACATTCATTGTTTTCTAAATGTCCTTGTTATGCCAGCCAAAAATAAGTATCCACTCAGAGCAACCCACTCAGAAAAAGTTTTCACTTCAATTCTTTTTCCAAATGTTCAAAGGGGGGATGGATATCACAGAATTTGAGACCCAGCAGCTGATTTTGATAAGGCCTATTGGATTCATTTTTTTCTTCCATATAATTGGTTAAGAAAGAAATATAAGCATTTCCCTAACTAAAAACCAAGGCAAGATTACTTAGACTATCCCAAGTACAGTTTGTTCTATAGACAAAAAACCTGCCTCGTCTCCGTGGAAGTTGATTTTTTTTTTGTAGAAATTGATGGAGGATTTGCAATCCCGATATCCTGCTGGTCACTTCTCTAATATGCTTTAAGGACAGGAGAGAAAACCAGCATCCCCTCAATTAGTTCTTTCCTGGTAATATTTTATCACTGTACAAATGGGCCAGAAAGTGGCTTTGAGCTGAAAACCTGGAGCCCCACAAAGACACAACAGTACTATTTAATGTCTGCCAACTAACCACCAAGCCTTGGAATCATCCAACTAATGAGACAAAGAAATAGCATGGCACTGAGAATGCTGTCGGACTTGCTGGTGGATATCCTTCCTGCTAATTTGCAGTGGAAAAGCGGGGGGCAGGGGGACATTAAAATTACCTCTGTAGTCATTTTATCTGCAGAAAAAGTGAACTTTTGGAAGCAAGGAAGACCAGTGTTCACTCTGCCTGCCAAACTCCCATCACACCAACAAGCCATGCATTCCTGATGCCCAGCGTCACAGACACTGCAAGCACCTGCAACTATTTTTCTTCCCTATTTATTCTGCCTCTTTCCTTCCTTCCCTTTGTTCTGGGGCAAACATTAGCAGTTAAACTTATTTAGCTATTAAAATTCTCATTCTATGTTTTAAGAAGATTATTTATGGGATGGAAAAATATTTATAACAAATAATTAGTGAAAACAGGTTTCAAAAAAAGTAGGTAATGCATGATCCCAGTTTTACTGTGGAAAAGAAAGAATGTCTAGAAGAATATCAAAACATTAACAGGGATCTAAAGAGACATTATGCAATCAGGAGTGATTTTAATATGCTTTTTTTTGGTTTTAACTAAATCTTTCTCAATTTTACAAAAGAAACATTTGGTACTTAAAAATTACACATTATCAGGCCATTGCCATCAATTTGACAAACATTGGTTGCCTACATACTGTGGGACCTTGTAATGCATGCTAAAATAATATGAAAGGAAAGAGGGTTCCTTGTCTTCCATAGACTTACAGTCTAGTTAGTTGGCCAGAAGACAAATAATATAGAGGTAGTCAAAATATGGTGAAAGATACTTCTAATTTTTAAATAAACTTATAAACATAGAGTACTTTTAGATATACAGAAAAAATTGAGCAGACGGAACAGAGATCTCCTATAGAATCCACATCCACTTTCCTCTATTATCTTCTTATGTTAATATAGCACATTTGTCATAATTAATGAACTGATATTTATACACTACTATGAACTAATTCCCATCTTTTATTTAGATCTCCTTAGTTTTTCCTCTAATGCTCTTTTTCTGTTCCAGGATCCCATCCAGGATACCACATTACATTTAGTTGTCATATCTTCTTAGGATCCTCTAGGTTGTGACAATTTCTTAGACTTCTCTTGTATTTGATAACCTTGATAAATTTAAGGAGTACTTGTGAGGTATTTTGCAGAGTGTTTCTCAATGGGTGATATGGTTTGGCTCTGTGTCCGCACCCAAATCTCATCTCAAATTGTAACCCCCATATATGTAGAAAGGGACCTGGTGGGAGGCGACTGGATCATGGGGACAGTTTCCCCCATACTGTTATGTGATAGTGAGTTCTCATGAGAGCTGATGGTTTTGTAAGTGGTGGTTTTGCCTGCTCTCTTTTTATCCTGCTGCCTTGCGAAAAAGGTGCCTTGCTTCCTTTCATCTTTCACCATGATTGTAAGTTTCCTGAGGCCTCCCCAGCCATACAGCACTCTGAGTCAATTAAACCTCTTTATTAATTACTCAGTCTCAGGGAAGTTCTTTATAGCTGTGTGAAAACAGACTAATACAATTAGGAGTTTGTCTGATATTTGTCTCATGATTAGACTGGAGTTACTGTTTTTTAAGAGGAAGATTACATAGACAATCTTTCACCATATGATATGCCACTTTCACCATATCATATCAAGGATGCATGTTTTCAACATGTCTTAATCACTGTTATTGTTAACCTTTGTCACCTGGTTGGCTGAGTTATTGTTTGTCAGTTTTCTCCAATGTAAAGTTACTATTTTTCCCCTATCCACACTGTAAATGCTCTTTGGAAGGAAGTCACTATGCATAGCTCACACTTAAGAAGTGAGGAGTGGTACTGCACCTGTTTAAGGGCACAGTATGCACATAAATTATTTGGAATTCTTCTCATGGGAGGTTTTGCTTCTCTACATGTATTTGTCTATTCAATTATTTATGTATACTAGTATGGACTCATGGATGTTTATTTTATACTGTGGGTCATAAACCAATACTACTTTATTTACTTTGTTGCTGAAATTTTCTCAGCTTTGGCCACTGGGAGCTTTTTCACCGCCCCTGTGACATGCCCCCAGTGTTGTGGTGTGTGTGTGTGTGTGTGTATGTATGTGTGTGTTTTAGCACTTCCTTATTTTCTGGTATTACAACATGCTCCAGGCTTATCTTGTATATTTCTTGCCTCAGTTCTAAAGTCAGCCATTTTTCCAAGGATCCCTGGTTCCCTTTGCTGGAGAATCATATTAGAAACCAAGACTTGGGCCCTAGGTGTGCTCATTGTTACTGAGGTATTGTTTTTAGGCTGTCTCAATTAACAAAGTAAGGCGATATATACAGATCTACTAATCCAGCTATAAACATATAAGTATTTCTACATGTAACTCTCTGTATTTATACTAGGCTAAACATACATTCATACTGATGCTGCTGAGTCTAATTGATTACCACGTGGATCATTCTAGCCCCCTCTCCTTGTTTATTTGTAACCTCCCACTCTAATTAATAGTAAGAAACCAACAAAATCATCAGAACCTCTGGAAATAGGGTCAATATCTCAACATGTTTCAAAGCTCCCAGTTATTCTAATATGCTGTCAGAATTGAGAGCCACTGACCTTGTCAGATTATTCCAGTCCTCATTCCTACTTCTCCCATTCCTAGGCTTTGTCCTCAAGAAGTGTTTGAAAATATCTGTTGCTTAAATGAAGTTGAGGCTGAGGTTTGAGGTGATGTGGACATGCTGTGGACATGGAAAGGAAGGAAGAGAAGAATTTGAGGATTAGGAGCAGAAGATGCTGCTAGAAAAAGAAGAGACAATCAAAAAAGTCGGACAAAAGAAGAGAGGTGAAGCCACTGTCTTCATGTACATGAACTAGATGTATATAAAGGTCTTTGCTCAACATTTTTCTATCTACACAGAAGCAAAAGGAGAAAACACAGGCAAAAATTCCAGCAAGTATGCTTAGCTATAAAGAATAATTTCTTCACTGTAAAGATGTAAAAATAGAGAACAGTCTGTGAAACACTAGCCCCTGTGAATCTATTAAAAGCTCCTGCAGACATTGCGACTGAATTAGGTCAGCTGAAAAATGCAGTTTAGAAAGGGAGTTGGAACTGTTAAGAGAATGTTTTTCAGTCTTTCTTCTTCCAGACAGCACTTAATACCCTACTGGATCAAGACCCCCTATTCTGGTTTGAATGTGTCTTCAAAGTTCACTTGTTGGAAGCTTAATCCCTAATGCAACAGTGTTGGGAGGTGGGGCCTAATAAGAGGTGATTAGGTCATGAGGGCCCTGCCTTCAAGAATGGATTAATGTTGTTATCTTAGGAGTAGGTTATTTACTGAGAGAGTGGGTTCTTGATAAAAGGATGTGTTTGCCTCTCCCTTTCTCTTATGCCCCCTCAAACTCTCTTGCCCATCCATATTCTCCATGGGATGATGCAGCAAGAAGGCCTTTTCCAGATACAGGCCTCTCAACCTTTGACCTTCCAGCCTCTAGAACTGTAAGAAACAAATCTCTGTTCTTTGTAAATTACCCAGTCTGTGGTATTCTGCTATAGCAATATAGAACAGACTAAGCCTTCTCCCATCCCAGCAACATGATTATTTACTGTGGGTTGCATTTGTAGGTAAGATGGGCAGGTGACACCAAATCCCTGCCGAGCTTTAACCCTTTCTCTCCCACTCATCTACACATGCCTGTGAGCCTCACTGTGTCCCCTTATTCTCCCAGGAGAATGCAGTGCACTGCCTAGTGCGGGATGGGCTTAGTTGGACATCTGTCTCAACTGCAGCATCTTATGTCACTCTTTCCCTTTCCTCTGCAGCCACACTGATCTTTCACTTCTCCAAATATGTGCTCTTGCTCACCATGAGATTTTTGCACAAGCAGTTTCTTGCTTCTCCTTTATCTAGTTAACTTCTTCCCAACCGCTCAATCTCAGACCAAACATTACTTCCTCAGAGAAGCCCTCTCTGACTACATTGACTAAGTCAGTCTCCTTCGTCTTATGGCTTCATAGAAACATGTCCCTATCCTGCAGAGCCTATGGATACATGATTGCTAGTTTTAGTCTTTGACTAGTATCTGTCTCTCCTTCCAGATTGTAAGTTCCTTTCCCAAAGTATAAAGGCATTGTTCTGGTTTTTTATTGCTGCCTAACAAATCACCATAAAATGTAATGGCTTAAAACCACCACCACCACCACCATAATTTTGCACATGAATCTGCAGTTTGGCCAGGAGTTGGTGGGGACAGCTCATCTCTGCTCCATGTGTCTTCAGCTCCACTGGAGCTGGAGGATGCACTATGAGATGACTCTCCCAGAAGGCTGGTAGGGAGTTTTGACTATCGTTTCATCTGCACGTGGTGGCCTCTCTACTGGATTTCAAGAGCAAGTATCCCAAGAAAAAGAAAGTAGAGGTTGCAAGTTTCCTAAGGCTTGAGACTAGAAATTGACACAACATCATTTCTGCCATATTCTACTGGTCACCAGTCAAAAACTCAGATTCAGAGAGAGGAGACATAGAGCTCCCCTTTCCCTCAATGGAAGGAGTGTAAAAGAATTTGGGGGCCACGTTTTAAAAATACACAAGCATGATTTTTGTCTAGGTTCCTGTCTCATTCTCTCCTGAACATTTGGCACAAAGTCTGGAACAGAAGAGATACCAAGCTGAATGAGGAAATACACGAGCGGTGCTCTTTGTACCAGAGAATCTGTGGTTGGCCAGGATATTTTTGAACTGACCCAAGCTTTGTGATTTCTGAACTTTTCCTACAAGCCAACTTGTTACAGCAAACCAATACCTGGGTACCTCACTTAGGAGGACGCCAATTTATTCAAGTGCACTCCTCGATTCCTGACTCTTTTTTCTGTGGTTGTGAGGGAAGATGGCAAACAAGTCACTCTCACAATTAGCAAAAATGGCAATTACAGACGCTTGCCTGAAAACACAGTGTACTTTAAATTAGTTACACATGACTAATGCACGTAATACCCACCCACAGTTGACATTCAACACCACCCACAGCAGAGCCTGCAGCCGCTAATCTAAAACCACTGGGGAAATTAGCCTTGCATAAAGATAACCTGGGAAGAATCTACTCAGTTATGAATCCTGAAAGCAGCTTCCTTCCTTCATTCATTCCAACCCAGCTTTCTCCTACACTCATTGGCCTGATTATAAATGGAAAACCCTTATTGAGCACCTACTATGCATCAGGCACCATATTAAATGCTTTGCAAACGTTGACTCATTTCATCCTCACAACAACCCATGAGCTTGTTTCTTTTTAAATCATCCCTCTGGTGGCAGATAGACACGAAGATGACCCCATGATGCCCACCTCCTGGTATTCATGCCTTCGTGTGATCCTCTCCCCTTTAGTGTGGGCAGAATCTGTGACAAAGGGAATGGGGTATGTGTGATCACATTGTGCTTTTCATATGCTGAAGTCTCTCTCTTTCTGTCTTTATAGTTGACTTTGAAGAAGTTAGCTGCCATGAGTCCCATACCCAAAAGAAAATGAAATTTGCCAACAACCTGAGTGAGCTCGGAAGTGGGCTCTCCTCAGTCAAGCCTCCAGATGAGAACCAAGCCATGGCTCACACCTTGACTGCAGCCTGGCAGGTGACCCAAGTAGGCACCAGACTCCTGGACCACAGAAACTGTGAGATCATAAATGTGAGTTGCTCTAAGCCACTAAGTTGTGTTACTTTGTGACGCAGCAGTAGCTAAAGAACACCCATTTTACAGGGAGGACACGTGGGATATTAACCATGTTGCTCAGGGAATCCCTGGGATTTAAATTGGTTCTTCCAATAATAATAAGAGCTACTATTTCTGAGCCCTTACAACAAGCCAGGCATTGTGCCAGGTGCTTTACCCATGTTATTTCCTTTAATTCTCACAAAAATGTTGTGCAATAGGCACTACTCTCATTTTACTTTATAGCTAAGTAAACTGAAATCGCAAAGGCTATTTGACCAAACTTACAGCTCTTTAGTGTTGAAACCAGGATATGAACCCAGGCAGCTTGACTCCAGAGCTCATTATTTACTCTTAATTCTCTATTCTTTTGCTTCCTGGAACAGTGCAAGTAACTGCAGGTTTATTCTGATAAAATGGGAAGGCTCAGCTCTCTAAACCAGGCTAGGATTCTCAGAGCTGAAGCTAGGCAAAGAAACTGAATGGAGAGGTAAACATTGTCTTCCCCAGTTGCAGATCCTAGAGGTAAGACAGTCATCAATGATGAATCCACAGCAAACAAAAGTCTGAGCCAAATATCCTAAGCAACATGAGGGCTCTGGGAGGGAGATTTAAAGTCTGAGTGAGGCAAGACCATGAAGACAGCACCCTCAGCAAGAATGTGGTTGGAGAAAGAGGGGGTACAATAGTCCTTTTGTAAGCTCAACTGCCTCCCTGCAACCTCATAGGTACAGTCTTATGGTATAAATCTAGAGAAATTCTGCAGGTAAACTGGGCATGTCTGGGGAACCTAATCTGTTAGCCAGGAGCACCCTGTCAAATATGCATCTATGAAACAGACATGAGAACATAGTAGTATACACTCAGAATTGCTAGAGTGGCCTTACACCAGCTCTAGGGTAGAACCTGCCAGCATCACATGGCCTGGTCATTTCAAAAACCTTGCAGGAAAGCTAGAAGAGAAGGCCAGGTGGAAATGGGATCTAGGAGCTGCTGTAACTTGATTTAGCTTGGCCTAGATTCTGTCCGTTCTGATGATGTAATAGGCTCTGTCCCCAAAGATGAGTGACACAGCCCCTGCCCTCAAGAAACTCACATTTGAGTAGAACACATAAAGGTCAGCAAACCACTAGAAAACCAGAAAGTTTATATAAGCTAGAGCAGAGGTCCACATGAAATGTGGTGGGAGAAACTAACTCCAAATAGCAGAACTGGGGGAGGCTTCATGAAGGTAGGATTCTGCATGATTCTAGAAAAGTGGTTAAGTATTAAATAGGCAGAAGCAAAGAGAAAGGTGGTGTACTGAAGGATATAGAGGTAAGAGATAACAACAGTATTCATAGAGCAACAAGAAATAAGTTTGGCCACAGTGTGAGAAGCCAGGTAAACTAAGTAATGGGTTACAAAGGGAAAAAAAGGCTGGGGCCAGATTATCTAGGATTTGAAATGCAAAAAAAGGGGACATTAGATCATTATTATATAGTATGAGGAGTTCTAGAATATTTGAGAAGGAAAGTATTTAAACTTGCCTGACATTTAGGGAAACATCTTGTCTCCCTCATTTAATATAGTCCTGAATGAAAAGGGCGTTGTTTCTTAGAAAATTCTAAGGAACACTGATCACATGCAAGTTTCCATAAGCCAAAGAGTCCTCTTATAAAACACGTATCAAAAATGCGTATATTCCTTGAAGATCTGCAATGCATGTTAAGATATTAGAACAGCTTGGATGTCCTGCAGTAGAAAAACCTATTTAACTCTGTTTCACTCAGTGTTTTCCCAACTACTTAATTACAAATTTCTTTCTATGACCAAGCATATCTTACTATCTCTTGAAACTGTAGGACATGTTACCGCATGGGATGCATGCTCGGTGTTCTCCAGTTTTTCTACCAAAGAGCTTCTTAAGGTAATGCCCAAGTTCTTACTACTTCTTACAAGAAGGTTGAGAGGATGATATCTGTTTTGTGTTTAATGAGTGAGTTTCGCTAAAAGGGATGAACTGAGGATAACTCTACTAAGTGCCCTGTCATCTAAGAAAACATTGAGTCAGTCTTTTCTGCTTCAAAGACCAGGAAACTTAGAGGTTTCACTGTTGTCCTAGCTATTTGAAGCTCCCAAATGGACTTGTCTCAATACAAGTATCAGAGCATTCCACATTAATTACAAGTATCCATTAGAAGGCCCAGGAGTGGCTTTTCAGGCAGGTAAATGGGACCAGAACAGATCTATAAAAGCACAGGGCCTGATATAAATCAGACCAAAACTACCAAGGGGTCTTCACTGGGATCAGGAGCATGATTCAGCCATAAAACGATTCATAGCTTCTTCTTCCATATAAACATTTTGTGTCTCATGGAAGGATTCTTTACCATCTATTCCAGGCAACAGACCCAAAGATACAGCACAGAAAGGGAGCATAATTTGGCTATAAAAATGTTGTAATAAGTGATTTTATATAACTGAAATGCCAGTTCCTTTACTACATCCTCCCACTCATTTTACAACCAGTTAATATTTTTCTGAACTTTTGTGTTGTATTCCACTCAGCCGCCTCTGCAATCATTTTTGCCTATTTTTCTGCCAGAGCCACAAGAATAAAGCTGTCAGATGATCTGTGAAGCCATTTTTCTTGTCTGGCAAATTGTCTAGAAGCAACCAGAACCTCCTACCTGCTCCACTATGTAAGAGAAGAAGCCTGTCTTAACAAAACAGAATTAAAATAGTCTTTTGACCCACGTTATCTATAGGCATATAGAATGAAATAACTGAAAATATATTTCACTGACTTTTTTTTTTTTACCTTGCTCCAATAGGATTGAGGTGGATATTCTTGTTAAGCGGCCCTGGTGTTGACATGTTTAGAGAGATGTTATATAGCCCTCCAACAGGAATATCAAGATATTTGAACTGCAATAATAAATGTGGCTGCTCCTAGGGGAAGAAGGATACAGCAAGAAAGTGCCCCAGAAGAAGAAGATTAAGAACCGAAGTGAGCTAATGGTATACAGTGGTTAGGATTTGAATGTGATTAGGATTTATAGTTTCAATTAGTGCCGGAGAACAATTTTAGAAAGTTATTAGCAAGCAACTGGCATTCGCAAAGATGGCTCATTTGTGTGTTGCTCAAGATTAGCTGGGTCTTTTAGTTGTTTACAAACACACATAGTGGCTTGTCTTGAATGTGTAGAAGTGACTGCAACATTACATACTCAGAGCTCTTTAGCAGAAATGAAGCCTAGAGCTTTGGTTTCTTACTATTCCTGTGTGGGCAAAGCAAAACTCAATTTTGCAACATTTTCTTTATTTCAAAAAAGAAGGTAAGTTTCCCTACCTGTTCTAAACTCCAACATGCTATTTCAAATGAATAGCTTTCCCATTCAACAAACTCCTTCATATTTAAAAGTCTTAAGTGCCTCAAATACTCCATGTTGTGTTGCCTAGAATACAAACTAATTTTTTAAATCTCCCTACTGGATTGTTTTCCACTGAAACCCATAAGTCTTTACATTGGACTGTATATATTTTTCTCTTTTAAAGCCTTTGGGGCATTATTCATACAGGGCAAAAATTCTCAAATAGATTAGAATCCTGGTTGAGGCATCTGCAAACACAACAAAAAGCACTCAGTCTCAGGGAGTTGAAAGCTGTGCCTGGTTTTGTTCATGTCAAAAGCCATGGAAGGTATTACATCACCTTGAGCCAGCAGACCTTGACCTTAGCCTCCCGCTGAGCAATGAGACAGTTTCCCCAGGCCCGGAATGTGAGAAATACAAAGGAACCCTTCCCACACACGGTGACATTAGGATTCCTCATGGGATGACAAGGCCTTGCTCCAGGGATGATGTTTCCCACTGTAGGAGAA
Source organism: Homo sapiens (assembly GCF_000001405.40). Classification (NCBI taxonomy): domain Eukaryota; kingdom Metazoa; phylum Chordata; class Mammalia; order Primates; family Hominidae; genus Homo; species Homo sapiens. The sequence goes on from NC_000003.12 coordinate 67,296,361, forward strand.
CAGCTACTGTCTTTGATGAACTGAGTCTACAGGGCTATTGAAGGTATGGTCTTTGATCTCAAAATTCAAGTGCTTACAAAATATCCATTTCTTTATTTTCTCTATTTTGTAACCTAACTAAAGATATTTCCTTATCTGAAAAACATACATTTTAAATACAAATATATATTTTCTGAAATCAGATTAATGTGTCTAAACCTTCGTTTCTTCAGCTGAGAAAAACTAGTGTGTGAAATGGAATCCGGGAGGCTTATCTGATAGAAAACAGGGCCAGAGACTGCTCACATTGACCAGTCCTATTCCACTGTGGACCTTTGAGCCTAAGCATTCTTCTATTATGCTACTTTGTCAATAAATGCACTACTATGCACCCATTGCCTTCTGGGCTCTTATCTTCTTGTTTCCTAACCCTCCTATACATAAATAAATTTAATAGACTCAAGTACTTACACAGGTAAGAGAAGCTCAGATCTCAAGAGGATTTTGCTTTAAGGCCTGCAAAAATCCTAAGGCAAAGAGACAGCAAGGATTCAGCTCTCTTTGTGAGATGAGGAAGAAGATAAGATAACTCAATCATGCTAATATCTCTAAAAATTTATCCTGCCTTTAGTCTGTTGCAGGTATAAAGAGTTCAGAGTTCTACTGTTCATTTTTCCCATTCCTATCTAGAAAATATTCGTCTTTCTCTCAGTTTTGATTATCTTTGGACTTGCTTGAGGAGGCAGGAATTTGAGCATGTGGGACTAGATTCTAGAACCATGGAGAGTTAAGGACATGGTTTTGGTAGTGGTTATGAGTATGGAGCTGTGATGTCAACTCTGCCTTTAAGGATTATGACCTGGACATTGACCAATCAGATAGGCACCTATGAAATGAATGCTGACTGATACAGAAATGATTTTGCTGTACTGGTAAATACTGGCAGACTATTAGCTCAGAAATATTATACATGTTGGGTGATTTGATTGAGCTAATTGGAATAGCATTCTATAACCAAGCCAGGAAAGATACTGAAAAAATATGCCTCTCTCCAAGTCAGAGATATTAACAGCAATATAAAATAATTTGTGTTGTATATGCATTTGTATGAATATTATGTATATACTCATACGCAAATAAATATATACTCATACAAAAACAAATAAAAGGCCAGTTGCAGTGGCTCATGCCTGTAATCTGAGCACTTTGGGAGGCTGAGGCGGGAGGACTGTTTGAGCCCAGGATTTCGAGACCAGTCTGGGCAACACAGTAAGACCTCATATCTACAAATAAAAACATTAGCTGGGCATGGTGGCCTGTACCTGTGGTCCCAGCTACTGGTCCCATCTGAGGTGGGAGGAATGCTTAAGCCTGGGAGGTTGAAGCTGCAGTGAACTATGATTGCACTGCTGCACTCCAGCCTGAGTGACAGAGCAAGACCTCATCTCAAAAAAAACCCCAAATATATGTATATATGTATACATATGTACACACACACACACACACACACACACACAGACACACACCTGTATCCATCCAAAGTTAAATAACAAATAATATGTTGACACGGCAATTTCAAATCTACTCTTCAGAGATGTATCAACCAAACAGAGAGGGAGCTAAGGTTTTGATCCACCAACTCCAGTCAGCTGCTAATAGAAAGCTGCTCTGGGAATATTAATTCTCTGGCACTTGCAGCCTGTTCCATGAATGTGCAAGCTGAATGGGCTCCCTTGACCAGAGAAAGCCCTTCGGCAAAGAGACACAGTAGCTCACCATTGGAAGTCTTTGGGTCTCCTGGCATGGAAATGGGGAGTGCTTAGGAAATACGGGCAGGCCAACACTGTCATGGTCTGCCGCAGGAGCCAGCTGCTCCAGGCTGTCTGCCCAGATTCAAGACCAATGGATGCAAGAAGACCCTCCCTTTCTAATAATTCTAATTAGTCTGACCAAAGTTCTGGAATGTAAATCTTATAGCCTCTAGTAGGTTCCAGTGCAATGCTGTGGTTAGTCAAGCTTGGGCCATGTGACACCAGCCCAAACCTCATGAGTAATTTTTTGTGTATCTCAAAATAGCTAGAAGAGAAGAACTGCAATGTTTCCAACACAAAGAAAAGATAAATGTTCAAGGTGATGGATATCCTAATGACCCTGATTTGATCATTAAATATTAGATATGTGTATCAAAATAAAACACACATCCCCAAAATACATACTAACATGACATATCATTTAAAATTTTAAAACATACATAAGAAGAGTAGGGAAGGCTGATATCTCTTAGCACTTCAGATATTGGTATATTAGGAACAGGGTAGAATCAATACAAGGCAGAAAAAATAAACCCAAGAAAATGTGACTTGCTGATGTCGCAAGTACTGAAATATAGATACAGTCTTCTCATTGCCATGCAGCCATGAGTTGAAATCTCTTGGAACACATGACGGTACCTGAATCTCTAAAAGGCCAGTTGGTGGTGATCACAGTGTTATCTAGCCCTCTGCCTGACACAATTTTTTTTTGTCCTGGGTTTTGGCTGTAGTGGTTGGGAGACCTTGGAAAAAAGAAATTCAGGTAAAAGGAGCCAAAAATTAAAACACAGAGGCAAATGTCAGCCTAGTTATTCTTTCATACAATAGAAGGGTGGAGGGGTTGTAGGAAATAATTGACTTTGTCAATGGGCAGCTTAGGATGGTCAGTATAGAAGACAATCTATTTTAGCTTTTACAATATAAAGGCTAAAGAGATTACAGACTTGATCTCCCTAAGAAAATAAAAATAGGGAGAGAGACTTAGAACCAACGAGCATTGAGAGATGCTTGGTTATATTAGTTATATCTTAGACACTGTAATATTTTATCAGTTCTGTGTCTGATCAATGACAGAAGAGGCTATTTTGTTTCATTTAAAGTTTTTTATAAGAATCACATAACTGTGGCTGGGTGCGGTGGCTCAGGTCTGTAATCCCAGCACTTTGGGAGGCTGAGGCGGGTGGACCACGAGGTCAAGAGATCGAGACCATCCTGGCTAACGTGGTGAAACTCCGTCTCTACTAAAAATACAAAAAATTAGCCGGGCGTGGTGGCGGGCGCCTGTAGTCCCAGCTACTCGGGAGGCTGAGGCAGGCCTGAACTGGGAGGCGGAGCTTGCAGTGAGCCAAGATCGCCCCACTGCACTCCAGCCTGGGCGACAGAGCGACACTCCATCTCAAAAAAAAAAGAAAAAAAAAAAAAGAATTACATAACTGTAAATTAAGAACAATGCAAATTCTATGTTTGCATACCTAAGAGAAACTATATTGTTATCACATCAAGAGAGAATTTCCCTTCCCAACAGTTTTGATAAAAGTATTGGCCCTCAGAGGCTCCAACCAGAACAGATGTCGACTTCAGAAACAACCACAGTGGTTCTGAAGTGCTCCTTTGCAGGAGGAAAGCTCGAATTGCCAGACCACTTAGAGAAATGTTAGATGAACTTGAGTATTCTCAGTCTTGCTTTGATATATGACTGCCTGGTTTTGTTTACATACAAGAGGTAGAAGAAGAAAGAATGCCACTTGACCTAAAAATTTTTGCATTTGTTCTCATTATATGTATCAGTGTTTGACAAATGATGCTTCCTGATGGAAAGAGCACCACTGGTTTGAGAGCTCTTGTGCTGCATTCTGATACATAGAAAGAAATGTAACTCACATGTGGTTGCTAAATATTTTTCATATGCAAACACTTCTTTTGAGGGTACTATAACATGTGGGATCTGCAAAGAAGCTCCAAAAAGCTGAAATCTACTTTGTGTACTCTGAATTTTAATGTGCAGAGAACAGCAGGCTGTCTACCCATACAAATTGGCTTTTAAAACCAAGCATTTAATCTTAAGGCAAATAATCTGTTATTTTAATAATTAATTCAACTCCTTGAAAAAGATGGTTAGAAGCCAGTTACCAAGAGATTTAAAAAATAGTTATTTTATTGGGTTCAACTTTAAATGAAAGTTTAATGTTTAGAATTAGACAAGTGAGGATATAAATGTTTTAATAATAGGTTTAGATTATTTTGATAATAAATTCAAAAGACAATTAATGGTAAGTTTGCAGCAACTGGTGAAATAAACAAGGTCAAGAGAGGACTCAGAACAGTATATGTAGAGGACTTTTGGGGAAAATGAAGAAAGAAAAATATGGAAAGAGAGATGGTCAAGATGCAGCAATTCTTTCCCTTGGTTTTGTGTCAAAGTTCTTTTCTATTTTTACTAGAGTGTCATGAAACAGGCAAAAGGATTTCAGAAAACAAAATTTCACAGTGAACTTTTAGTGAGAGAAGTTTTTTGTTTTAAAAAACTGTTTAAAATAGAAGAGGTAAAGAATATCAGTACCAGTGGAAAGGGACTAGATAGAAATTCACAAACACTAGATTTGAGATTTAGCGCTACCACTGTCTAGATAACTTTGGACAAGTCTTAACCTTACTCTATCCCAGTTTCTTTCAAAAATGAAGGTGATGGACTTAATCCTAAATATCTCTTTGAATCTTAAATTAAGTGATTCTATGCAATACTTTAAAAAAAAGTTAACGTAAATTTTACAGCCTCCAGTAGGTTCAAGTGCAATGCTGTGGTTGAATCTTAAATTATGTGATTCTAGCTAATACTTTTTTTTAACTTAATGCATTAATGCATTAGAATTCCAACAGAAATCCTAAATCAGAGATCAGTAGCAATTGTAAGCACTGACATATATTCATATGAGAAATAAAACCAAGTTAGAAACATAATTGAACATTATCTCAAGCTGGTTTCACGTTCTTCAACAGCCTATATAGTGAGTGATGTTATTTAATAAAAATTAAAAGGCAATAACAAACATTTTTGAGTCATATTTATTTCCTTTAATAAATATAATGAGTGTTTGAAGGCAAGAAAATAGTATTTCAACTCTGCTTCCTTTCTTCCTTTTTTCTTCCACTAAAATCTATTGAATTTTCCTTTGGCTTTTTAGGGAGGCTAAAACAAACAAAATCAGTCCAATTTATATATAGCAAGCATCTTTGTTTCATAGGACTCCTTGCCTATGCACTGATTCCTTCCCTGTAGGTTAGCAGTTCAGGGAATAGTATTTATTTGTTAACTCCAGGTGCTAAACGGGTTCAGACACAAAGCACTTTATTGAAGAACCTGGATTCCATAAAAATAATCTCTGCATTTCTTTTATATAAAAGGAGATCTGGGACTAAATTCAAAATGTTTTAAGTCTATTTTAAGTAGAATGAAGTCATTGAAGATTAGAAATTGATGTTTAGGTTTCTGGTTTGTTCAAATAAACAGAGCTGCCATTCTTGAGCTAGAGGTTAGAGAAGGACCAGATCTGGGAGGAAAGATGATGACTTCATCCTGTTTGTGTGCATTGGAGGTGCCTTGGAGAGAGTCAAGCGGAACTGTCCTAGGAGACAGAACGTATGAGTCTAGAGACTAGTAAAGAGGTTGGGGCTGGAGACATCAGCCTGGGAGCCAATGGCATGTCCTTCTGGTTTATTAAAACAATAATCCCATGAAAAAGAGTGCCTGAGAATAAATTACTAGGAGACAGACACCTCCCATGCTTTACCTCAGACATGCACTGCAACAATTTCATGGGTGAATAAAGTTAACTTCATTTTACAAATGAAGAAACTGAGTCTCAGAGGCAAGCAGACCAGAGGTTTTCCCATGGTGAAACATCCTATACTTTTTCTCAGGTAAAAATAATTAAATGTGGCTCTTCCCCCCCCAGCCTCCATTCTAATCAGAATAAGCAGTTGCTGGTGGAAATTGGTCAAGGAGGAGATTGTGCCTATGGTTTCTCAAAGAGGACCTGTGTGATTTCTACTTTAGAGGATGTATGCTATCAAATAATGAGAAAAGATCAAATTGAAGAGAAGAAAAGCCACAAGCAATCCTTTTTGCACAATCAGCTACACAGTGGGACAAGTTTGATATTTGTATTGTTATTTCTCATCCTTATTTGAGCCTTGCCAGCCCAAGAGTTTAATTTTCTTGCAATCCTTTTTCTATTATTATCTTTCTATTTTCATTAAGTGTCTGTCACTGGACTTCTCTGTGGTCAGAATTCCAATATCTCATGTCATTGTCAATGCTAACTTGGACTTCAGCATTATCCCACCATCATGGGTTTTTCCTTATTGACCTGTCCAGCTCTTTTTTTTCTTGTCATTTCAACCTTGGCACTGGAAGCCAGTCACGGACACACACACATACACATACACAGCTATTCCTGGAAACACAGGGCTGAGATTGGAGTCTGCTGGGACTAGGGAGGGAGAAACTATGCAAATTAGATAACTGTAAAGCAAATACTGTAATAACTTGAAGTTTGTGCTAACACACATTTCCAAGACCCGGACAGTCCCCATGGAAACAGGACTTTGCTGTTGCAGTTACATCAGAATTCTCTTAGGTAAGTAATCAGTAACAGCATACACTTTCTTTCCGCATTGTCCTTGTCACAATGGTGAATCCTCAAATGCAAAGAGAGAACAAAAGGAGAGAGATGCGACTGATTCCCGGATGATAGGTAAAATGCCCTCTAGAAAACACCAACAACACTGGAGAGAGGCAACAGTGGGAGTTTAAGCAATAAGTGTTTTTTTTTAACAGACAACAATGAATAAGTACATTTATCTGCAGGCTGGTTAGTAATTTGCTAAAGAGGCTACAGTTCTGGTTAGCTCACTTCTATTAGTGGATATTTACTGTGCCCCAAATATCAAGACTTTAAGTTAGAGCCTGGCGAGGGGCAAGTCTAAAATTCTAAGTTCCATTGAGCTTGGAGCTTATACAATGGTGATGGGTAAGGGTGGAGTTTTTAAGACAATAATATAAAATCTTGAATACAGAATTAAGTACTGGGCATTAGAAGGGCCCCAAGAAAAATGAGGGGCTTTAAAGTGCATGCTTCACTGGTATCTTGATAAATCCACCCCTGATTTTAGAAACAGAGTGTAATAAATAATGATAAACATAAAAACAACAATAACAGCAGCAGTAGCAGCTACTCTGTGCTCAGTGCCTAGCCCTGTGCCAAGCACTTAACATGCATTGTTCCATAAATTAGACATGAATCTCACAACAACCCCAGGAATTACATATCAATTTTTGCAGAGGAGGAAATTCAGGCTCAGTAACTTGTTAAAAGACATAAAGTGGTAGAAGTGGATTCAAAATAAGCCTTATTTTTAAAAACAATCTAGTAACCACCAAGATACAAATTCTCCATAAGTTCTTGATAATATTATCACAACATTAAGGGAGGTACCTGAGCCAGTCTTGAGAAGTTCTGAAAAATTTTTCTGGGTAAGATAATACTTAAAGTGGCATTTCTCAACCTTAGCACTATTGACATTTGGAGGCTGGATCATTCTTTGCTGTGGGAGCTGTCCTATGCATTGTAGGGTGTTCAGCAGCATCCCCGGCCTCTACCCCAACTAGATGCCAATAGCATCCTCTCTTCAGTTTGGAATAATGAAAAATGTCTCCAGACATTCCTTAATGTCCCCTTGTGGAGGAGGTGCAAAATCTCCCAGTTGAGAACCAATAACTTAAAGAATGAGTAAGAAGTAACTAGATGAGAAAGTGGCAAGGTTTGGTGGGGTGGGGGGAGGGGCACTCCAGAAAGAGGGTGCAGCAAAAACAAAGGGAGAGTAGCAAAAAACAGCATGACAGGCATGGTGGGTACCTGTCAGGTAATGAAAGCAGGCAACTGGATGCTACTTGAGGCTACAGCCCATGGCGGGGGATTTGTTGGTGGCAAAGTAGGAAGGTACCAGTTTACACAGGTCATTGTGTTACATGCTAAGGAGTTAAAGTTTTATCCTATAAGAAGGAATAGCAAATATAAAACTCTCTAACACCTGATAGGGACAGGATCACAGGTACATTTTTCAACTGTTACTCTCATTCCTTTGTGGATAACGTATCTGATGGGAACAAGTCCAGTTCAGTTAAATTTGCCTTTTTCTTTACTTTTTTTTTTTTTTTTTTTGGAAACAGGGTCTTGCTGTGCTGCCCAGCCTGGAGTGTGGTGGTGCGATCATGGCTCACTGAAGCCTCCACTTACAACTCCTGGACTCAAGTGATCCTCCCACCTGAGCCTCCTGAGTAGCTAGGACTATAGGCACTTGGCACCACACCTGGCAAATTTTTTTTATCATAGGATCTCGCTACATTGGCCAGGCTGGTCTCAAACTTCTGGCCCCAAGTGATTTTCCCACCTCTGCCTCCCAAAGTGCTGAGACTACAGTCTGGCCCTTCATGATCTCTAGATATTACCAAAAGTCCCAGAGAAATGAGTGCATGGATGGCTTAATGACAACCCACTTTCTTCTCTGGAAGAAAGAACTTAGTACAGCCCTACCAGAAGGTGGGATGGCAATGCCATCTTCAGACTTGAGTGTTGGGGAGGCCTTTTCTGCTAACCAACAGCAAATGTTTTACAAGAGAAACAGGACACACAGTAGATGAAGGCAGCCATGGAAAATCTGTATGAATTATCCACTCTGTTGATCTGTGCTTAAAATATAGAAGGGAAAGTGAAGAATAAAAATGTGTCCATGAGCATCCCACCTGGCTTGCATCCAGATTGAACAATTTGAATGCTAAGAGCAGGATTTTGATAGTATGGCAGACATTGCTCATTGCTCAGCCAACCCATTCTCCCCTTTGTCCTTACTAACAACATCCTGATTTTGTGTAGGCAACAATGCTCCCAGCTAAAATTACCTACTTTACCAGACTCCTATGCAGTTAGAGGTGGCCCAGTAACCCTGGCAAATAAGATGCATGCAGGCATTACTGGACTGAGCTTCCAAAAACAGCTTTTAAAAGGGGCAAGCTCAACTGCATGACCCTTTGGGCTTTTGAACCTCTTTACCTGGAAATGAGACCTAAAGCTAAAAATGAAACAACTGTCTTGTTATCATGAGGTGACTATCATGAAGATGAAAACCTCCACACCAAATAAGTGGAAAGAAAAGTTGGAAAGAGGTGGAGAGAATGACTCAATCTTTGATGTATCAGTGCTGCATTGCCTCCCTCAAAATGTCTCAACTGTTTTATGCAGCTGAGCAAATTCGTGATCTCAAACAGCAACTCAAGCAACTCCAGGAAAGAAAAAAAATTGACCACTGGAGGAGATACCTAAGATAATCCTGGTGATACTTTCGGTGCTACAAGAAAAAAATAATCCTCGCACCCAAGAAGAAACAATGAAACCTTATTTTTCATGTAAATTTCTACTCCTGTTTGGTTCAAGCATTTGAACTGTTGCATAAGATTTTTTTGAGTGCCGCTGAGAAAAGTATTATCAATCTAGAATGCACCAGAAAGAAAGCAGCAGAAAGATTACAAACAGCTTTTCTAAACCCTTGTCCAGCATTTACCAGAAAGAGCAGCATGAATTAACAAAAGCAGAAATTTTAGTTAAAAAAAAAAAGCAACTCAACTCTGATTCCTGAGACATATAATACAGGACGTCTATCGCCCATTTACCCTCATCCAACTCAAATGGCTACCAAACTCTAAAATTAGCAGGGCATGTCGGGAAGACTTCTTATTCCTTGTATTACAGATCTGTTGACGTGTCAGTAGCATTTTCCTTTGCAAGTTATAAAATTTCCTTTCCCCAGTCTTCAAATAGGCACTTCCCCCTCCCCAAAGTCTCTTTTGTCACCAACTGCCATAACCCACCAATCAGGGAAACAAATTTCAGTTCATAAAAGAAAACCATGGGTGACCTACTGAGGACCACAGTTTCATTTCCATAACAAAGACTGACATACAACCCATGCCCAAAGTCTGGAACAGCTATGAATAACTGTGGCTGAATAGTCTATTTTCTGTTGGGATTCATATCAAACTCTATATTTGAACTTGAGATATCAGAACTTTTGTATTATAATACATAAAACCTAGGTAGTGAGTTTGAATTGTCTGCATTTATTCTCCATGGGTAATAAAAACTCATTGTTTCTCAATGTTTGTGTAACTAAACTTTATCAGCTGGAGCTAATCTTTAATTCAGAAGTTTGAGCAGTCTGTCAAGCAATACCTGGTGAAAAGAAATCTGGAAGGTTCTTGACAGGCCCTCCTGAATATGGAAATTTAATGAATTAATCTTTCTAATTCGTTGGTGAGAAACAGTAAACCAGCATGCATCAGTGGGCACGTGTGTGGGCATGTGGTAGAAGAGGGTATAAGGAAGTAAAAATAATTTTCTTAGTATAGATGCACAAAATATTTTTAATATAAAGAAATATTAACTACCATTCTTCAATGGGTAGCCTAGGGAATCCATAGATTGGAGGAGTAGCCATAAGCAAAATGTAATAAAAATATTGGCATTGCATCATAATGGGGTGGGATTGTACAAGTTAATTGGATATGAACAAACTCTCAAGAAGACTCTCAAGAAGAACATGCATTTTAAATGTCTGTAGTCTTCATTTATTTTTTCTTTTTTTAACCTTCGTGAGATATTTGCAGTGTTTACATGGAGTGGAATTGTGGCATATTTTCCATAAAATACTCAGTTTAAAACATTTATTTTTAAAAAGATTTTCCATCACTTTTCTTAAAGTTATAAATATTCCCCATCCAGTACTCCCTTTTCACTATCTCCCACTGGAAATACTGCAATTTCTCTAGCACTAGATAAATGACCATTGGTTTTACAGTACAAAAATTATATTACTCTTGATTTGATCCTAAGCCAGGTAGAACGTTGCTTTGAATTCAAACCCTTGCTAAAACACAGAGCACACAAAAAGTCTTTATTAATAAAGATTTATGATACTCCATGTATCAATATACCTAACTCACATGGACACAAACTATAAGAAATACCTTTCATAACTGGAAATCTAGATATAATTTGGGCTGCAGGCATAGCGTGATCAAGGCTCTGGCTCATTTTCTTTGGGTTTCTCTTGCCATTGCTTTTGTCGATGAAAAATTTGTTCTTAGGTAACTTCCCTTTTGTCTGCAGCACATCTATCAGTATGAACTGGGATATTGCAAAAAAGTGAAACTTCTCCCCAACCCTAAAAGCCTTTCGCTAGTTGAACTGGTTGGGACACATGACTCTGATTAGGCTTCTGGACCAATCACAGGAAAAAGCTTTCCTAGACTTGGCTAGTCAGGATGTACTCTTGGTGCTGGGGATAGAACTAGTTTCAGGGGCATCACATGGTGTTGTAGGAAGAAGGGTGGTACTGAGACTTAAATAGAGGAGGAAGAAAGAAATGGCTGCTAGAGAAATAATCAACAAAGTCTACTGCATCCTGCATTAATGAAATCCTAGAAAAGAGCCTGAATGTGAAACAGATGAGAGACAGGGGCATTCTGTCTCTTGGTGGGGCATTTCTAAGACTCACATTTGTGAATTTTTATTTTATTTTTTTTAAGAGGCACAAGATCTTGCTCTGTTGTCCAGGCTGGAGTGTAGTGGAAGGCTGACAGCTCACTGTAGCCTCAAACTTCTGAGCTCAAGTGATCCTCTCACCTTGGCCTCTTAAATAGCTGGGACTACAGGTGCATGCCACCAGGTCTGACTAATTTTTAAAATTTTTGTGGAGATGGGGTCTTAATGTGTTGCACAGGCTGGTTTCATACTCCTGGGGTCAAGTGATCCTCCTGCCTTGGCCTCCCAAAGCACTGAGATTACAGGTGTGAGCCACCATGGCTGACCTGTTTGTGAATTTTAATAGATGATTGGTCAATAAACCAAAGTAAAAGAAGAATCATGCAATATTTAGCTCTACGAGTAGCCATTACTGACTAGGAAGAAAACTTGAATGTGAGTGGGACGTTGATTTCTTGTGTCATGTAGAACTCAAGATGTTCATATTTTTTCAGGAAACCATAAATTCCTATGCCTGAGGAAGTACTTGAAACATTAGGTTCAGCCTTTGCCTGCAGGTAGGCAGGTAGGCAGGGAGGTAAATGTCTAAACTTGTGATTTCCAGGCCTTTATAGCCATCTTGCCATGCTTTCATGGGATTTTTCATAGGTTAAATTCTTAACAGCAAAATTAATGGGTCAAAGAATGTTTCCATTTAAACATTTGATAACTATTGCCAAAATATGCTTTGAAATGTCATGCCAACATACACTATCCACCACAGTATTTTAAAGCACAATTTTCACATTTTTGCCAGCATTAGATGTTATCAAATCTTAAATTCCTACTAATCTGATAGATAATTTAAGTAATGTTTTAAGCATCTTTAAATACAAGCACAGTTGAATCTCTTTTTATATTTTATTAACTCTTAATTTGTAATTCTTTAATTATTGTTAGAGTGCTGATTTATCATATGTTTATACTAATTCTGCTGCCATTTGCAGCAGAATTAGTTGCGTTTTACAATGTCCTCTGTAAGAGCTAAGGAATTAAGAGCCATCTTAGAGCAGAACCATTTTTAGGGTGCCAAGCAGTTTTGTTACCTAGTTTGTAATTTATCAGTTTTATTTGACCTGGAGATACTGAGGAGGCCAAGCATGTGCCTTAGATTATTTGCTCTAAATATAATTTATCTTAGCCAGCTTTTCGATAGGTGGAGTGATTAGACAAGTTGGGATGATTTTTCTAAGACGAGCTCATTATTCTCTGGTGAAGTCTACATCAATGATCATGGGATGGCGGGACTACTCATATGTTAGGTTTGACAATTTTTGAGTGTGAAATGCAGGAAACTTTGTTTAAAACATTGGCTAGAAGACCTCTGCCTCTCCCTTTGCCAGATGCAACAAGAGTAGTATTGGGTTAGAAAGCAATCAAGCAATCAGGTTAACAGCATAAATTAAATAGAATCAGCTAATGGGGGAAGTTCCTCCATTTCCATTTCAATTTCTCCTGTCTTTGTGCTCTTCCCCACACCCAAAGGTCCATTCATCCTGCGCCCTCCCTCACTCACTGTGTCCCAGGCTCCCAACCTGTGGGGAATACCTATCACGGCCAAACTCTCTCCTGCCTCAGGGCCTTTGCATTTGCTATCCCCCCTTCTAGCCTTCTTCCAGGGCTGTCCACAAGGCTGGCTTTTCTCTTCCAGTATCATTGGAAGGTCATCTCCTCAGAGGTGGCCCCAGCTTTCTGTTATTACAAGACTCTGTTTCTTTCTTTCCTGGTCCTTATCACAATTACTTAATGGTATGATTTTTTTAATGTAAAGTGGAATCTTTTTTAAAAATAATTATTTTGCTTGTTTACTTATGTACTTTATAAAAAATAGGCTCCATGAGAAGTAGGATCTTGATTGTCTAGTTTGCATTAAATTTGTAAAATGTTTCTGTTTTGTGCTTGAGCAGTGGAAACATTTCGAGGCCTCTGTGGGAATCAAATGATGGAAATACACTTCCCTAGGCTTCAGTAGGATGGATTACAAAGTCAAGGCTTCTTTCCATGATGCTGTTGAACAGAGAGTATTTACAATAATTCACAACTCCCCATCCCCCACTAAAAAAACCTGCAATTATAAGCACTATTGAGACTATGTTTCAAGTTGAAAGTATACTTGCCATCAATTTAGCTTGTGTTGCAGTAACACTTTTAACCAGAGATATAATTATGCTCATGGTATGAAAAGTTACATCAGTTTACACTGACACTTGATTGCTCAGTTCATCATTACCAAATGTCTATAAAAATGAACTAGAAGCTGGAAGCATATCTTTGACTCACTCTCTTGCTTAATTACATTTATGAAGAGAAGCAATTGGTCACATATATTATCCAGGGTTTCGAAGTTTGCATTTAACAATATTTGTCACAAGAATAGCACTGGCAAAAGGAAAGGCAAAACCAATACTATGCTTTCATTAAATATGTGTATATATAAAAATATAGGTGTATACTTAAACATAAAGACATTTTATGTGTACTTTTGATGTTTTTATATATAAGTATACATTTTATTCAGTTTATTTTTATTTGCATACACGTATATATTTATACAAAAAATATGTAATATCTATGTTATGTATATTATTTACACAAAATGCATTATTTTTAAACATACAAAGAACAATTTGCCTGATCTATTAAATGCAAAATGTCCAAAGCAGCAACTGTTTGGGTATAACCTAGACGTCATTTTTCATAAATTACACAGTCACTGCATTACAAATATTCCTTTTGATTTGTTATCTCCTATGTAGTTGTCATGCCTAAATTAAATAGACATTTTCAACTCATAAGAAAGGGAAATCTGAGTCCTTTAAGGAACAATTCTAAGTTGCATCTTAATCTTTCCCATATTCTCTCTCTACTTGCGTATCTGAGTTTTTTTTTTTTTTTTTTTTTTTTAAGACACAGTCTCGCTCTGTTGCCCAGGATGAAGTGCAGTGGCGTGATCTCTGCTCATTGCAACCTCTGCCTTCCAGGTTCAAGCAATTCTCCTGCCTTGGCCTCCCGAGTAGCTGGGACTACAGGTATGCACCACCATGCCTGGCTAATTTTTGTATTTTTAGTAGAGACGGGGTTTTGCCTTGTTGGTCAGGCTGGTCTCAAACTTCTGCCCTCGGGTGATCCTCCCGCTTCAGCCTCCCAAAGTGCTGTGATTACAGACGTGAGCCACCATGCCCAGCCTCTGATTTCTTCTTAATGTCCTCAGATATTTTTACACTTTATAATGTAAAGTATAAAAATACCTCTTTTCTGAGGTTGGGAAGGTATTTGCTATTTAGAAAAAGTCAGGAAACATCCTCTCCTGAAAAGTATTCTTACTGTCTGATAATTATTCAATCATGACTCGGTTGCTTTATGCCTGCAGTATGAGAGGTACATATAACAGAACATTGTGGTCTCTATCATAGCCTATTACTATGGCTGATGAATGCCAGAGCGGGAGACAAGAGAGGAAAGGGGTCATTGTTTAACACATTTCTTCCCAGAGCTAGTCTCTGGCATTCAACTTTCTAAAAGTTGGGCTTCAAGACCATTGCATACATCATTAATAACCAGACACAGCCTACAGACCTTACCCCAAACGGCCTCTATTAGAATGGGATTCAATATATGCCCTAATCTGTGTTACAGTACAGGAAGTCTGTGGAGATTGACAGGGAGCATATTTAATAATTTCTTTGCTGTAAATCCTGGAAGCATGGTGTTAGGGTAACAAAATAGGAAAAAGAAGAGACTCTTTTGAAAACCAGCCCCAGGATACGCAACCTTAGTCAGCACCTGAATTTGATCAACTCCACTGACAAGGGCTGGTGATGTTGCCCATTACCATCAGTTATTCAGGTTTACCCAGGCAAGGAGAACCGGATCGACAACCTTTTCATTGCCTGACCCCCAAACCGTATCCTCTGCCTCTAAGTCTTTTGGGTGAAAAGGCCTGGGGGCCTAAGAAAAGTTTCCAGGGAATCTCATGTTTCTCAAAGTGACTATTTCAATGTTGATAAAAATTGGGCAGCAATATGGTCCACTCTAATCTCAGGGGAGCCAAGGTGAGAGGGAAGTCCCTGTCAGACAACAGAGAAACTGTCTCTTGCCCCTTGCCAAATACAAAAGACACTTTCCCAAAGGTTCAACACCACTCTTCAAAATTCTCACTTTTTTCAAATCTGCTTTATTCATTTGCACTTAGGATCAAAGCATGTCCTCATTTGCACAGTACTAGGTACTTGTTGGAATAATATCCAGTTGTGACATAACAGCCATGACATGAACCAGAAATCAAACTAGAAATCCCACAGGACTACAGAGAACTGAAAAATGTTTCCTCTCCCCGATACCCCACTCTACAGCCATTCTAACATGTGGTGTTTTGATACATTCTGATGGGATGTGCTGAGTCTCATTCATATTAATTTGGCCCTCAATATGAATACAAGTATGAGTGAAATATGTAAGTATATTGAACGAGAGGAATAAGCCAGATATCCCCCAACGTTGCCTTCAATCCATGTGGTGCTTTTCCTGCAGCCGGCACTGTAGTCAAGAAATCCTTTTGTTTGTTTACTGAAACATAAATCTGCCAGAAGAGCCTAACTGTAAATTACTGTTGCATTTCTGATGGAAAGCTGCCACATAATTTAAATTCCAACAGCTCTACAGGTTCTCATATTTCTTATTTGTAACTTGCCACCTCACAGACAAAGTGCATTGTACTATCATTTTAATAAATAGTCTTTGAGCAAAAGCTGTTTTTGTGTCCAAATTCCATCTTTTTTTTTTCTCTTTCTCTCTCTCTTTACTGACACATCCTGAGATTCAATAAAGGCCTTTGAAAAGTCATTTCATTTCAAAGGTAGCCATTACATTTCAACAGCCAATAAACCAAATGACCAAATAGAACGATGTCTTCAAACCACCAGAGGAGGTGAGTGAGTGACAATTCTGGTTTGTCATTTCCTCTGAAGAGAAAGGATGTCGTTGATTTCTCTTGTTCAGCCACTTAGTTGTGAGTAAACATTATTTTTTAGAAAATCAGTTTTCTCGGGTTTTCTCATCAACGAAGTATCTTACCCATAACAGTAGATAATTACCTAGCACATTTGTGAAAGTGGAGTCTATCTTCACGATAGAGACGGTACTTAGATATGGATTAAGCCCAATTGGATTCACCGTCCGAGCTATCAAGAAATGGATATCATGAGACTTTTAATCTTGTATAAAACAAAAAGATTAAACTGTCAATATTATGATGAGCTGCCGTGACGAGTCCTGTGATACTCACTCTCAGAGCTGCTTCTAATGATATGTATGCAAGGCATAGATTTTTCCTGATAATGCATGTAATTAGAGTACAGAACAAAATGTTCTGTTCAAATTCATGACATGCCCGACTAATAAAGGAAGAGAGAATAAGGCCCTTACTATTTATTTGCATGAAAAAGCTTCAATACAGGATATACTTTAGAGAAATTAATTTTTAATCTAGGTGACTAGACGAGATTTTGACCCTGAACTGTTTTCTGAGTTGACTTGTGAGAATTTATGCAGAAATAAGACTGTGATGCTTACAAACCAGACAGGCATTGCTTTTTTCCCATTAATTCCTGAACGTCTTATATAGTCAAGAGAAGGAGAAAATTGGTCCTTTTAAAAGCTCACCTTATAAGAATTTCCTTCTATGAAACGTAATCAGCAAAAGCTGATAGGAATCTTAGCGGGAATGTATTCTTTTTAAATGTAGACATTTGAGAAGTTAGATACATTGATTCAGCGGTGATGATTCTCCACTGACCCATATAAAACAGAAATCTTTAGTTGTATATTGTTATGAATATATTTGGGAGGCCTCTTGCTATCATTGTACCAGCTCTTCAGGGTGAATTATGGACCCTACCATCAGCACTTGAAAGAAAGCTTTATATCAACTCTTGTGTTTATTTTTCCATGATAAAGGTTAGTATCACATCTACTGGATAGATGCATGAAATTACTTTTAAGAGGTTTTTTGCCCCCTCATTTTTAAAAACAATGGCTGATATCAACAGTATCCAGGTAATGGATCATGTAACAGCAGTAATCTACACTTACAATGCAGTAGAAAGTGGCTAAGCATGAGATAAAAGGCAAAGGCCTCATATACGTTTCAGTACCACTTGACACACTAGTAAGTAAGAGCAGCTGTCATATTCCTCATGTAGATATGAAATATAAAAGCAGTCTGGCCCATGTTAGTAAAAGGCACCAAGATCCACTTGGATGCCCAAGCCAGAAAGAGAGGTCATCATTGCTTCCTCCCTTTATCTTTTCTTCCACTTCCAAGCCATCAACAACTTCTATCAATTTTCTCTTCCCACTTATATCACAGATTTGTCCCTTCTTTTTGGCCTTAGCCCGGCTCAGACTATCATTTCTGATTGCCTAGTCTTCTAAAAGTTGGTTTTGTTGTTGTTGTTATCTCTCCTCCTTGGCCTCCTCTAATCCATCTTCCACAAAGCACACAAATAATCAGATTATATTGATCTAGCTTAAAACCTTCAATGGCTTCCCCTTGCATTTAGAGTAAATCCAAATGCACTAAGCTCAGATCCTTACGATTTAGCCTCTTCTTCTGTGTCTCACATCATTTCCCATGGAGCCAACAACACCATAGCCATCATCTTCAGCCATCCTCATTTTCTTTCCTACTTCCAGGCATACTATTTCCTCTGCCTGGGTCATTCCTCACCCTGCCTCTTCCTCATATCTCAGCTAAAATAGCCTCTCTTCTTGGTTGTAGTATCTAGAGTAATCTTGCCCTACTTAGGAATTGCCTTTGTTGTGCTTATCAAAATCTGTAATTATTTTGGGAGTAAACCTCTTTATTTGTCCATCCTCCTATGACAATTAAGGTAGACACACTGTGTGTCTTGGTTGCTATCACATCAACATATCTACAAGTCCTCCATCAAAATTGGCTGAATGAATACATGAACAAATTACAATAGCACTTTCATAGGGAGAGGCTGCTAAAATGTAGAGATGAAGATAAATTCCAGAGGAAGGAAACTGCCTGTCCTTGATTTGCTTTTATGTCCTGGAATCATAGATTTCCCCTACCAAAATATTAAATGTGCAATTATATATACTTTTCACAAAGAGAAAGGGGGGAGGAATGAATACTCTCATATATTGCAATCATAAAGCTTGCTTAAAGTATCTATTTTGGCTGGGCGTGGTGGCTCACACTTGTAATCTCAGCACTTTAGGAGGCTGAGGCAGGTGGATCACCGGAGGTCAGGAGTTCGAGACCAGCCTGGCCAACGTGGCAAAACCCTGTCTCTACTAAAAGTACAAAAATTAGCCGGGTGTGGTGGCAGGTATCTTTAGTCCCAGGTACTCGGGAGGCTGAGGCAAGAGAATCGCTTGAACCCGGGAGGTGGAGGTTGCAGTGAGCTGAGATCGTGCCACTGCACTCCAGCCTGGGCAACAAGAGCTAGACTCCATCTCAAAAAAAAAAAAGTGTCTATTTTATTTGTGAGTGAGTGAGCCAGATCTTTTTTCTGGAAGTGAGCTATACCCTCCTGGAAGCTGTGCTATCTCTTTTGGGCCACTTAAGTAACAAAGATACTAAAGTTGTTAACGAATCCCCAAGTGCTGCATTTATTGCCAAAGCACATGTACTCTGGTTATTTCCACTTGTGTCTATTCACTGTACAGAACAAGTGTAGCAGGCTTGTAAAGAAGTAAAAAAGTTCTTGGCTGACATTATTAAATCCTTTGTAAATCAAGGTACAAAAAGAGAGCTGAAGAAACTATGTTATAACAATATGTAAGAAAAATAAAAGATGTCATGGACACATGTATGTTTTGAGCGGACAAAATATTTAACAATGTTGTTGTATTTTAAGTACTGTTTTCTTCTTATTATTTATTGCCCAAAGAAAATTCAAAAAGCAGGTAAAAAATAGTTAATGAACAAACTACAATTGTACTTACTGAACTGATGTAATTGTCAAAGGTATAAATTTTATCCCATATAATTTAAAATGTTAAAATGTAGCAAATATAAACATATTAAGGAGTATAACAAGTAGTATGTACATTTTTAGAAAAAATGGTAAAAATAATATGAAAAGTTGATTTTGAAGACATATATCTAACTCCAATCATTATGAGTACATTGTTCTCTGCAATTAGGGATAATTTAAAGGCAATTTTCATAAACATGCCTAAAATGTGAGTATAATATTCATTTTCATATACCAGGGACAGGCACTGTCAAATGTAATTCATCCAGTCAAATAAATTAGTCTATCCATTTAAGGTTAGGCACTAGGGAGATTCTGACCTCATTGGGCAGAAGGGCTCATCCCTCAAGAAAACATTGCCTATCCCACATTGAAGGGATTCTGACCAACTCAGATGTAAAATAGTCTGGAAAGTCAGGCACAGAGGCATTGCCTCTATGGCTTACCCACTCGTGTAAGTCCCTAGCTGAGTGGACACGGTTATACAGGAACACACGTGAGGTCCATGAATTTGTGGGTCCATATGCATACCTGCATGTGCACACAGTTTTCTATAGCTAATGTGCTGGGGGTAATACAGTAATACTACAAAACTCAAGGCTCTTATAGCAAACGGGGGAGGTGGGAATCAGCAAGTTTACGTTTTTAAAATCAGAAAGATCTTTACTAATTGTCCCTCCAAAGGAAAGCGATAAAAAGTCAGCCTATGTCTTTAGCTCAGGCAAACAAACAAACAAACAAACAAACAAAAAACACTATAGACACAAAGATCTGGTGAAGAGAGACAGAAAGCTACAGGACCATGCAATCAGAGAAAGCCTTCTGCAAGGGAGTCACAGAAGTACCATCTTTTAAATATTAGGGGGGAAAATCCTTTTACTTAAAGGGCAAATCTCCACTTGATTCTAGAGTCCTTCCAGGGAAGTAGCAAGATTCGTGTTATTAGGAATTGGCTCTCCTAACACCTCTCAGGGTGGAACAAGCATGATAGACATTTAAAGGAGATTAGAACTCCTGGCCAAACGCTTTCAGCAGCTGCTAAGAGAGGAAAAGCAAAATACTACCGTCTTATTGTAATCACATATGCACACATACATGCACACAGACACATGTGCACACATACCCATGCAGACATGCAAACACATGCCCACTGTCTTAGTTAATTCAGGCTATTACAATAGAATACCACAGACTGAGTGACTTATAAGCAACAGAAACTTATTTCTCATAGTTCTGGAGGCTAGCAAGTCCAAGATCCAGTGACCAGCAGATTGAGTGTCTGGTGAGGGCTTGCTCCCTAGATGGTAGTCTTTTCACTGTAACTTCAGATGGCAGGAGAGGAAAGAGAGATATCTCTGGAGTCCCTTTTGTAACGATAGTAATGCCATTCATGATTATACTGAATTCATCCTCAAATCTCAATCCACTTCACTGGCGCCTGTGGGAATCTGAATTGAGTAGATCCTAAGACAGTAATTCAAGTGCGTGTGATTGACTGAGGGGATGTTTTTGATAAAGGGAGCCAGGGAGCGGGGCAGAATAGGACCAAGCAAGAATGTGGGCTCAGCTGGAACCTCCATTCAGCTGGATCTCAAGAAAAGCTCTGAAGCATAAATTGCAGCACAGAGTTGTCCCACTTTGAAGCAAAGGGGTTGGCCTTTTGATCCCTGTGTTTGGCATTGGTTGTGGGCAACTCCCAGGTCTGGGAATAACCTTCTAGTTAAGAAAAACCTTCTTTGCTGAGAATTCTCTAGTGAACAAGATAAATGTCAGCTACTAGCAGCAAAACTCATAACAGCTGGGAGATAAGTGAGCTTTCCTAGTAAAGTAGATCTTGGCATCAAATACATCCACCATAGATATTCTAGTTATAGGGAGTCATTTGGACTACATAGACCATCCCCTATATGCAAAATTCGCTCATGGTCTCGATGTTTCACAGAGGCAGCATTTTTAATCTAACTGTTCTAAAAAGACAGTCTGGATGCATTACACAGTACGAACTCGGCCATAATAATGCCCTATAATGTACATCTCTTAATTTACACACAACCTTTATGATCCAACCCTATTAAATCTAGCAAGTACTTACTGATCACTTACTATCTGCAAATCATGATAAGATATATCACTTGATTTTTCAAGCATCCTGCAGGCATAAGCAGACTAGGTGTTCTTAGCTTCTCACAAAACAAATTAGAGGACACAAAGTAGACCAAATTCAACTCCTTTAAATAGAGTTGAAAGCCACAAAGGGGTTAATTTACTTTCCCAAAGTCACAAAGGTGAAATATGGATAAATGAGAACCTTAAAACTGTCTTTTGGATGCTTTTTCTGTTTTTGAATAAGTATTCAAACTAAAGTATTCATAAGCAGGCATTTATAAATAATAAATATGACATGGTCCCAGAAGGATAAAAAAGAAATTTATCCAGCAATCAAATAATTATAGTCTCAGGAAGTTATAAAGATAGTGCAGAGAGCTCTCCCCACCCAGTTTACATAATTATAATAACAAGATAAGAAAATTGACACTGGTAAAAGGTGTGTGTACAGTTCTATGCCGTTTTATCTCGTGTGGATTTGTGAAACCACTGCCAAATAGACCTCCCTGTGCCAGTTCCTTATAGTCACACTTAGTCACAGCTCTCACCACCCCTGACACCTGGAAAACAATAATCTGTTCTCTATCTTTACAATTTTGTCATTTTCTGAATCTTACATAAATGGAATCATACAATACATGACCTATCAAGAAGGGCCTTTATCACCCAGCATGACATCCTTGAGTTTTATCCAAGGTGTTGCATTTATCAATACTTCACACCTTTTTATTGCTGGGTGGTATTCCATGATATGGATGTACAGCACTTTGTTCAACCATTCACCTACGGGGGGACATTTTATTTGTTTCATCGATTTTATCTATTGTTTTTAATTTCATTAATTTCTGGCTTATAGTTAATATTTCCTTTCTTCCGCTTGCTTTGAGTTTAACTTGCCCGTATTTTTCTAGTTCCCTGGGATGGGAGAATACTGATTTGAGGCACTTCATCTTTTCTAATTCCATGGATTGATCAGAAGTATGTTGTATAGTTTCCAAGAGCTTGAAGATTTTTCTACTTTTCTAATATTAATCTCTAGTCTGAGAACACATTTCTATGATTTCAATTATTTTAAATTTGTTGAGGCTTGTTTTATGGCCCAGATTATGGGTCTATGTTCTGTGAGTGCTTGAACAGATTGTGTAGTCTGCTGTAATTGGGTGGAACATTCTATATGTATTGATAAGATCCTGTTGGTTGATGGCATTGATGATACATCCTTGATGATTTTCTGTACAATCGTTTTATCAATTGTTGCGAGAGTGGTGTTGACATCTGCAACTATAATTGTGGGTTTGTCTATTTTTCTCTCAGTTCTGTCAGTTTTTGTTTCACCTGTTTTGTGATTGTATTGTTTGATGCATGCACATTTAATATCCTCATGTCTTCTTGGTGAACTGACATTTTTAACATAAATGTCTCTCTTTGTCCTTGGTAATTGTCTTTGGTTCAAAGTCTAATTTATCTGATATTAATATAATTACTTCTGGTTTATTTTTCTTGTCTTTCTTTTTTTTTTACTTTAAAATAACATCTTTATTGGTATGTAATTCATATGCATAAATTTCACCCTGTCAACATCTACAATTAAGTGGTTTTCAGTATAATCAGGGATTTGTACAACCATCACCACTATCTAATTTTAGGACAATTTAATCATCAAAAAGAAACACCACAACCATTCAGTCACTCTTCCTCTCTCCATCTAGTCCCTGGCAATTACTAACCTACATTTTTCTCTATGAATTTGTGTATTCTAGGCATTTCATGGAATTACATAACACATGGACTTTTGTGACCTTTTTCACCTAGCATAATGTGTTCAAGATTCTCCATGTTGAAGCATGCATCAATATTTCATTCCTTTTTGTGGCCGAATAACATTTTATTCTGTGTATATACCACATTTTACTTATTCATTCATCACTTCTCAGATATTTGGGTTGTTTGCACCTTTTGGTTATTTTGGATAATGCTACAATAAAAGTTAATGTGAAAGTTTTTGTGTACGCACATATGTTCAGATTTCTTTAGGGTGTATACCTAGAATAGGGGAACTGTTGGATCATATGGTAACCCTGTGTTTATCATTTTGAGGATATGCCAAACTGTTTTCCAAAGTGGTTTCACCATTTTACAATTCCATCAACAATGTATGAAGGTTCTCATTTTCTGCATCCTCACCAACACTAGTTATTGTCTTTTTGACTTAGCTATCTTAGTGGGTATTAAATGGAACTTATTGTAGATTTGATTTGCACTTTTTGAATGACTAACAACATTGAATATCTTTTTTTGGTGTTTACTGGCCAATGGCATATCCTCTTTGAATAAATGTTTACTCATATCTTTTGCATATTTTTAAATTGGGTTATTTGTTGAGTGGTAAGAGCCCTTTACACATTCTGTATAAAATCCCTTACCACAGACATGATTTGCAAATATTTTTTCCCATTCTGTGGATTGTGTTTTCACTTTCCTGCTGGTGTCATTTGAAACATGAAAGTTTTAAATTTTGACCACGTCCAATTTACCTTTTTGTTCTTTTGTTGCTTTTATGTTTGCTTTGTTGTCATATTTAGGAAATCATTGCCTAATTCAAGGTCACAAAGATTCACTCCTATGCTGTCTTCTAAGAGTTTTATATTTTAGTTCTTAAATTTAGGGCCACAATCCATTCTGAGTTAATTTTCTGTATGGTATTGTTGATGTTTGCCTGGAAATTTCCATTCATCCTTTTACTTTCAAACTATTTATATAATAATTTCAGTGAGTTTCTTATAGATGGAATATAGATGGGTCATCTGGCAATTTTTGTCTTAATTGCTCTACTTAGACCATTTATATTTAATGTAATTATTGACATATTAGAACATAAGTCTACCATTTTATGTTTTGTTTCTGTTTTTTTTAATCTTTTTTATTTCTCTGCTTTCTTTTTCCTCTATTTCTAGGGGTTACTTGAACATCTTTTAGAATTTATTTTGATTTATCTGTAATGTTTTTTGAGCATATTTCTTTATATGTATAGCTCTTTTAGTGATTTCTCTAGGTATTGCATTATATATACATATAACTTATCACAGTCTACTGGTATCCTCATTTCACCAGTTTGAATCAAGTATAGAAATCTTACCTTCCTTTACATCTCATTACACTTTTCCATTTAGGAAATAATTGCCTTAAATATATCTATCCTCTACATACATTGAGATCCCCATTAGATATTATTACAATTTTTGGTTCATTTGTCAAAACACATTTGGAAAATGCAAGAAGAGAGGGAAAGTCTACTATGTTTTGTTCTTTCCATTGCTCCCTCTTCCTTTCTGATGGTCCAAGATTTTTTCTTTTATCCTTTTTTTTTTTTTCAGAGAACTTTCTTCAGCCATAGATTAGGTCTACTGACAAAACTTCTCTTTATTTTCAATTTTCTAAGAATATTTTCATTTCTTATTAATTTTTGAAGGATATTTTCATTGGATAAAAGATTCTGGGTGGACATTTTTTTGCAGCACTTCAAAAAAATGTTGTGACACTTCCTTCTGGCGTCCATGATTTCTGATGAGACAGCTGCTGTCAACTAAATTTTTTATCCTATAATTAATGCATCATTTCTTTCTGACTGCTTTCAAGACTTTCTTTGTCTTTTGCTTTCAGAAGTTTGACTATCATGTGCTTTGGCAACAATTTTTTTGCATTTATTCTGCTTGGGACTTGTTCAGCTTCTTGAACCTATAGGTGTATACCTTTTGGCAAATTTGAAATATTTTCAGCTGTCATTTCTTTGAATACTTTCCTGTCATCCTCTTTCACCCCTCATCTTGGACTCCAAGGCCATGAATGTTAGATTTAAAAAAAATAGTTCCCCTGTCTCTGAATATAACTCCTATTTGTATAACTCTATCATAGGTATGTGTACATATCCATAATATGCATATGCATATGTATATGTACATTATCATGTATATATTTAATACATGTAATTGGAAAATAAACATATATAACTTACTAATTTAACATATATGTATAATACATTAATAAAAATATATGATACAAATAATATATGTAATCTGATAGAGAGAGAGTGAGAGAGAGAGAGTTTATTTTCTCCTTTGTTTAAAGTTGGAATTTCTATTACTCTATATTCAGGTTCACTGATTCTTTTTTCTGTCCTCTCCATTCTACTGTTAAGTGAATTCATTTAATTTTCTTATTTCTGTTCTAAAGTTTCCATTTGATACTTCTTTGTATCTTTTTATCTTTGAAGAGACTTTTCATTTTTCATGTTTCAAGTTTATTCTGAATGAAACATTTTTATGATTGCTGCTTAAAATATTTGTCAGATAATTTTCACATCTTTGTCAACTTGGTGTTGGTGTCTATTTATTGTCTTTTCTCATTGAAGTTGGGATCTTCCTGGTTCTTCTTGTGATGGATAATTATTTTTTATTAAAACCTGAACATCTTGTACTCAGGAGGCTGAGGCAGGAGAATCACTTGAACCCACGAGGTGGAGGTTGCAGTGAACCGAGTTCATACCACTGCACTCCAGCCTGGCAACAGAGCGAGTCTCCATCTCAAAAATAAATAAATAAATAAACAAAACAAAACAAAACAAAACAACCTGAACGTTTTGAATATTATGTTGTGAGATCTGGACCTTCTTTATCTTTGGTTTTAGCAGGCTTCCTATGACACTGCTGTGTCAGGAAAGTGGATGCTCCCTACCAAGTAGGGGGTAGAAATTCAGATTCTTGACTATTCTTCTGTTGTAAGTTGGTGGTGAAGGGCTCCTCACCACCCCAGTGGCAAAAAAGAGAGGCATCTCTTTATCACCAGGTCAGGACAGGGATACCATTTTATCTGTGGTGTGTGGCTGAAGCAGAGAAGTTATTGTCTAAAGGGTTTTTTCTTTTTTTGTTTTGCATGGCTTCCCCTTTCCTAGTCCTTTGGCTGGAAAGAGTGGGCTTTTGTTAGGGCATGTTTTGTTTCAACCATTGGCATTTCTGGATTGCTGACTCCAGGCAAAAAGAAAACTTGGAGGAACTCACCACCATGTCATTTTTGGTTCCAAGGTCCCTCGCTATCTGGGTTTCCTTCTTTTTTTCTCACCTTTTAGAGTCTTCTTATGTTGGTTTAACTATACTATCCAGGGTTTTTAGCTGTCCTTACTGAGAGAAATAGGAAAAAGTACATCTATTTAATCTTTCTAAAAGCAGAAGCTCTCATCCAGCAAACTTTTAGAAACCCTGTTGTTCAAGTCTGCGTTGGTCGATTTGAGTGTGATTGATGATTCTTCTATGGTCTCACTGGAGTGTCCACTGCCCTTGCTCTCAGTTCCTCTTCCTGCCAGTGGTTAAAGTTATTTTACCGGTACGATGCCTTGTAATAAGAAATGTTAACCTGCTGTGTGGAGAGCTGAACCCAGCTTTTGCCTAGAGATTTCTGCCAAAATTAGAAGCTAATTACAGACTTTAAGAATTCCTTTTTGTTGTTGTTATTGTTGTTCTCAAACTCCTACAAGCTTTTGCTTTACTTCTCAGTTTAGTCTTGAGTATTTTATGGCTGGTCAGTTATTTTGTAATTCTTAGAGTGGCAAAACTATGCTAATCTTTCACAAAATCTACATGGCTAATATTACCAT
Organism: Homo sapiens; assembly: GCF_000001405.40. Classification (NCBI taxonomy): domain Eukaryota; kingdom Metazoa; phylum Chordata; class Mammalia; order Primates; family Hominidae; genus Homo; species Homo sapiens. The sequence continues at coordinate 67,323,548 of NC_000003.12, forward strand.
ATTCAATGATATTAAATATAAGCCATATATAACACCCAAGAAGAAGCACCACAAGTCTATGATTGGTTAGGCAGTGTATCAGTAGATTCCGACATAAAACAGAGAGCATATTCAAATTAGGATATTTAGAGGAGGGTTTATTTTACAGAAACAACTTACCAAAAAAAAAAAATAATAATAAAAAGAGACAGAAAACTATTTATAAAAGTGATACTGTAAGGATAAGGGAGAATGTATATACACCACCAAAAAGGAGAGAGTCACACCGAAAAGTCAGTTTTGAGATCAGTTTAGAGAAAATGCAGGCCAAGGCAGTGTCAGAGGGATAAAAAAATATACATCTGGACCTCTCTTTTGTTTCTCCCTCCAGTCTCCTCCAGGGGCTCCCAATGGTTGAACTCAAAAGGAAGCCATAGGATGAGGAAGCCCATGTTAGCCTCTTGGGACAGAAAGTCAGCTTAAAAGGGGGCCTGTGGAATATATTCAGCCTAGATGGTTTATTTGTTAATATTCAAGTGTAAATCTGAGCAGATTAGTTAGGTGGTGTGCTGAGGGACAGTTAGAGTCAAGAATTTAAACTTTGAATCTTATAAAATACTCAGACCAATATTAGGAATTTGAGTAAGTGGAAAGCTATAACTTGCTTAAAAATTAATGCATGTGAAATACCGATGATGGCTTTTAGCTAGAGTCCCTATAACCAAAATATGGGGTAACCTGGGCTCAGGGTTTCTAGTTTTTCCTTGATGAATTTACTTGGGAAGTTAATCATGAGTGTTAGGCAGAAATTACTGAATAACTTTTCAAATCTTCCAGTTTCTCCTGTCTATCTTCTGCCATGATTTCTGGCACTTAATACCTATCCCATGTTCAGGGAATTACAAGAAAAGGCTGAAAAAGTAGTAAGAAGGTAGTACATGACTGTTTTTCTTTCCTACACTCTCACAAATTTCAGCTTAGTAATTGAGTGATACAATCTCCAGTATTAGCACCGAAATATTATTTTTATTCCCCTAATATAATGCATAATTAGAAGATCCTTTTCATAGGAGATGCTTTCATTTTTAGCATCTTTGAGCTTAAAGAAGTATGGAACCAACTTTGGAAGCAGTCTGGCTATAGCTTTAGTATGCAAATGGTATTTCATCTGCAATTACCACAAGCCTTGAGATACAGGAAATATCTCAAACCTGGTGATCCATGACTGATATTAATGCCAATACCTTCCCATGGAATCCTATAAAGGTGAATGCAGAGCAAATAGGAAATGGAAAAAGAAGATGGATTGGTGATTGCAAACAAAGGCAATTGACTATAGACCCTCTGTCTTCTTAGAGGATGCACCAAAGCCAACATACTTCATGAGATAATGTGTTCTGGAGTGGAAAGTGAGGAGGACAATGGGAAGAAATTATAGCCCAGGGGACTGCTTTTAAAGCAAATGAAACCTCTAGAAATCCAGAGGTAGAAGAAGGTCATTCAATCCCACCTGTTACCACTTTGACAATTGCGAGAGCAGAGAAAAGGAACAAGCTTTTGAAAAAGTTGTGAACAATCTATTGAAAAAATGGGGTCATGTCCTGTGCTGCATGAAGACGTTTCAGTCAGTGACAGGCCACACATATGAGAATGATCTCATAAAATTATAATACTGTGTTTTTACCATACCTTTTCTATGGCTAGATATATTCATATATACAAATACTTACCATTGTGTTACAATTGCCTACGGTATTTAGTACAGCCACATGCTGTACAGGTTTGTAGCCTACGAGTAATAGCCTACACCATCTAGCCTAAGTGTGTAGTAAGCTATACCATCTGGTTTGTGTAACTTTATGCAATGATGTTGGCACGATGACAAAGTCACCTAACGATGCATATCTCCGACTGTATACCCATTGTTAAGTGTTGCTTGTCTGTACTCAAAAGTACACATGCTTCTCGAATTACAGTGAAGTTACATCCCAATGAACCCATCATAAAATATCATAAGTTGAAAAAGCATTTAATACTCCTAACCTACCAAACATCATAGCTTAGCCTAGCCTACCTTAAACATTCTCAGAACACTTACATTAGCCTACAGTTGGACAAAACCATCTGGCAACACAGTACAATGTACAGTATTGGTTGTTTATACTTGTGATCACCTGAGGCTCTCTGCTGCTGCCCAGCATTATAAAGAGAGTATTTTACTACTTTCTACTGAACGTGTATTGCCTTAGCACCATCATAGAGCCGAAAAATCTTAAGTTGGACCATGGTAAGTCTGGACTATCTGTACTGATTTCGAGACAATTTTCTACGTTGTTGAGGAGGACATAGAAACTATTAACATCTTTTAGTAGATATGAAACCATACATTGTCATATCAAATTAGCTATGCTTATAATTACCTCAGGTTAAATTATTCCATTTCCAGTGCTAGATTTTCTCATTATAGAATTGTTACAAGTAAGAAAAGACAGATGGTACTTCACTCTTATTTTCACTTATTCTAGTTTTTGGTATTGTTTAACTTGCTTCTTTACCGGTGGATAGAGTACACTACTGTATATTTTTATATTGAAAATGTATACATATTTTAAATGAGACATGGCAGTAAAACTTTTGAAGGTTTTATGGTTTCCCATGAGTTTGTGGTTCCTTTAACAACTAGTGGCAGAAGACTTGGGGGAAGGGAGGAAGTGTCAAACAAATTGTTCTGGCCCTTTCCCTAACATCGAATGTGAAAAAGAGAGTCAATAAGGAGTTTTGATGTTAGGAGTTCTTTTTTCTTTTCATCTTCCCTCCCCATTTTCAGTGAGTACGTTAAGGATGATTAAATTAAAATTTAAAAAATACTGACTCACAAGTACCTGTTACCGACCTTACCCAAAATGTCATAGAAGTACTTATCAAAAAGAGAAAACCTACGCACTTAACCAAATGGGAATTTATGTTAAATAACTAACACCGAATGATTTGGGTTTAGACTTTGCAGCTTGAAGGAGTCCTTGAACTGCTGTACTCACAATGTGATAAATAAATATTTACTTAAAAATATTTCTACTCAAGTAGAAAATATCAGTCTCAGGGATGATAAAAATAATTTTTAATATAGCAGGTTATGTTTGGCAAGCTAATGGAAACAGTACTTATTTGAAACAATTAACATATCAAAAATCATTGCCCTTCACTATGTGAAACTGATCTACAAATTCAATGTTAATAGAGGTAGGTGATCCCAGTCAGGAATTCCCAACCAGTGTGCCCTGAATGGATTAAAAGTACCCAGGGATCCAGCTACTCTAGAAGCTGAGGCAGGAGGATCATTTGAGGTCACGAGCTTGAGAGCAGCCTGGGCAACATAGACTCTATCTCTCAAAAAATTAAAAAAATAAAGTATGCAGGGATATTATTCCTTACATACTTCAGAGCTGCCTATTGGGAGGCCCCAGACCAAGCTGACTCTGCTATCTTCTACATGTATTTTATGTATGTTTTGATATGAAAATATCTGGAAAGCATGGCCCTAGTTATAGACTATTACATTTAAAAAGATACATGAACTGCTATGTATGGGAAGTTTGACCAGGACCATTTGTAAAAGTTCTCTTTGTAATAACATTTTTCATTTGAAGAGAAAAATACATCTACCCCTCAAAATTTGCTCTCAAGTTTGAAAAGACAGAGTCTATCTTCAGCTTAAGGGTGAGACTTCCTATTTGGGAGAACGAAATGAGGGTTGAGAAATGATGCCTTAATATGACCAGGAAAATCAGAGCGTCTTTAATTTGGTGATGATCTAATTTTATGTAGAGTAAGTCTACCGCCTGAAGGGAGGCTGGTTGGAAAAAATATACCTGTGTTACAAGATCTCATTATGCGATATACTTCTTCACTTGGAAAATATCACCTATGACAAGCCACCATCCAAGGGGAGGAGCCCAAAGACAGCAGGAAACTCAGCCCTGGATGAAAGATGTTTGACATTGATAGTATTTGACATCAGTAGTTGTGATATGTTTTCTCATTCTAAGCAATGGCAAAATAAAGGAAAATAAAATAGACCTTACAAATATATCAAGTCAAAAGAGGCCTGAGATCTAAATCTTTCTTCAGAAAATTGGGATTTGGTTGGTGAGGAAATCGTAATTCCTAACAGTGTTTACTGGATTGAGCAAAGAGCTCAAATTGGTTCCTTCTCATGAGGGTGTTCAAAGTCTGTGCAATGTTTCTGAAAGACAGTACATTATATTGTTCTATTCAGCTAGTCTCCATTGCAACCTTGTTTGCTCCACAGTGTAATCGTTCCCTGACTTCCTTTCCATTTAATGTCTTCAGCACCTGCTCTACATAGCTTTTTAGTAACTGCATACTGAGTAGTTCTCATAGGAACAGGAGCTGAAATGACTGATGAATTCATAGAAACAGAAACATGTTTTCTCCCAGTGCAACTTGTCTTCCGGCAAAGTTTCATGTCCATGAAAAAATAATTTGCCATTAAGAAAGCAACACTATTCATTTTAATTAATGCATTTTCTACAAGTAATCATCAAAAAGACCAGATGAGTCAGTGTTTACAAATTCACATTTTTAGTAGGTGTGTTTGACTGCTCCATAGATCTTGTCTTCTGCCTAAATGTTCCTTTAAAATATTTTGATTTATTATGATTAAATGTAAGCTAGGTTGGACCATTAATTAATTACAAATAAATTTGAGTTAAACCCAGACATTAATAACAGCATTAGAAAAAAATGCACTGGGTTTACATGCTAAACAGAGAGCTGTAACTTGGTTGTGAAATTTTACCTTCTTTGAAAATGACTGATACCAGGAGTTAAAACAGGCACCCCCTGGGTTAAATTTAGCCCATAGGGTGTTTTCTTTGGACAGTATCATATTTTAAAACAAATTAGAATTAGTGACCACCACTTGAAAATCAGGAGAGTTTTACACAAAATCAAGGATGTCCTTGATTTCAGTTTTAAAAAAAATCACCTCTTGGCATGGCTGAGCCTGCAATCTTCAGGGACTATCTCCAGTTGCCCCTTTAAGCAAGTGAGCAGTCTAGTGTGGCAAGTTTCCCACCCAGTGCAATTCACTCATTCATCCAAACAGTCATTCAAGAAATATTTCCTGAGTACCTACCATGTGCCAGAAGACATTGTGCTAGATTCTGCCATCATCAAACTTACAGCTTAAGGGGAAATGGACAGTAAGCTATTCTACAAAATTGCACATTTAGAGGAGTGCTATGAAGTAAAAGCTGCTATGGAAGCATTTGACAGGATATCCTGAGCTATTCTGGGAGTGGGAGAGAAAGGGTCAGGGGTTTCCCTGCAGAAGCACATGTCAGACCTGGGATGTGAAGGACTAGGAGAGGTTACTTAGGCACAGTGTGTCCTAAGGAGAGCGAAGAGTAGGAGAGTTGAAGTGACCATAGATTGTTCAAGGACCTCAAGGAAGTTCAGTATGCACAGACAAAGAACAAGGGGGTGGCTGGCATGAATGTAGCAGGGAGTAGGCACAAGCAGGGTCAGACCTGGAGTCCTAGGGTTCAGGGAAAAATGATTGGTCTTGGTATTTAAGAGCAGTGGGTAGACATTGAGGAATTTTTCAGCAAGTATCAGAAAAAGTACTTTTTGCTTCCAAAGTAACATTCTGGTTTACCGGGTGGGGAAAAGGCTCATAGGAAGCAAGAATAGAAGCAGTCAAGGATGATATGAACTAGAGTTGACCCTATAGAAAATGGCTCAAAAAATTGAAATGAAGCTAAAAAACTTTAAAGATACTGGAAATTGTACAAGGTCATAAAAGAAGACCTTCCATTTGCTGCCCCAAATCTACTCACCCCTGCTCTGTGCACAGGAGGCTGGCCCACATGGACTGTTTCCACAGGTTCCCTTACCTGCTGCTCTCTGGTATGTTCAGCCAATGGGCAGCACCAACAGGAGATCAGAGGGCGGCAGGAGTGAGGTCAGGGCATTTATTGAGTCAGCTCCCTCTTTGATGGATGGCTACATCACTAGTGGTTACATTCCTTTTCCAAAGATCACAGCTCTTGTCAGACTACAGCTGTCTCCAGTTTCTGTACCCTTTCCTGGTCCTTGCCCTTCAAGCTTTGAGACAGCAGTGGTTTCTCACTGTTACCCACACAGGGTTTCATCATTCGTCATCAGTTTCCCTTAACTTTGCCCATACATTTTTAAATAGTACCTTCACTAAATTATACTTGGTTACCCCCATTTGAGTGTGCCACTTGTTTCCTGCCAGGATCCTTGGCCTTACCCCGAACTGGAAACAAGTCAATTTCAGTATTTAAAAAAAAATCCTTACCCTAGTATCTTTAAAGGTAAAGAGGCAAAAACCAATGATAATAAAAATCACACTGACAAATCCAAAAGAGAAGCATTAGAGGCTTCATTCTCCTCACCACCTCTCTTAGAATGTGATCAAGAAAGCATCAAGAATGAAAAAGCACATGGGAGAGACACAGGAAGGGATACTGCAGTTGATGTTGTTTTGTAGTGGATTCCCCCCATCAGCTCAGTTGCTGGGAGTGTGCGTGGCTGGAGTCTCAGCTGAGGGGCTCTGTAGGCCATGCCTTTAGTCACAGAGAGTCAGCATGCAAAGACTGGTGGATGAGGGTGTACAAAGGTCCATGTAGGTCAACCCTGATGATTATCCAAGGTCCAGGCTGAGGATCTGTCTACCATTGCTGGTGCAATATCTACCATCGGCCAGTCCTGCTTCCCTCGACCCTCACAGATGTTGATCCCAAGGACACTCTCCAATAAACTTTCTACATAGAAGCATCTACTTCAGAATCCCCTTCCTAAGGAACCTGATGGAAGGCCGGTATTACGATCTATTTTCTTATATTAAAAACATAAAACCTCAAATGTCAGAAATGCAAATGGAGATATGATATATAATAGAGTGAAGTTTTTTGTTTGTTTGTTGTTGTTGTTGTTTTTTGAGATGGAATCTCACTCTGTCACCCAGGCTGGTGTGCAGCGGCGCCATCTCAGCTCACTACAACCTCCGCCTCTCTGGTTCAAGTGATTCTCCTGCCTCAGCCTCCCAACTAGCTGGGACTACAGGCATGTGCCACCACGCCTCGCTAATTTTTTGTATTTTTAGTAGAGATGGGGTTTCACCATGTTAGCCAGGATGGTCTCAATCTCCTGACCTCGTACAGTGAGCTTTATAAAAGTCCATGCAATATTGATTTCTTAATACGGATTTCTATATTAATAACTAGATGTAGCCAATTTGTCTTTTTATGTATAAATGACACAAAATTCTCTGTGTTAAAAGTACAGTATTCTTGTGGTTTTAGAAAGTAACACTATTTTAAAGATGATTAAGAAGAATGACCTTTTGAGAAATATTTCACATGAAGATGTCTCTATCACAGGAGGCTGTTAAAAGGGACAGACAAGGGTTGTGGTATGATGTACATTCCCCTAGGATATTCGTAAATTTAGCTACTGTTTACTCAGTCCTTGCTATATGCCAGACCATGTGGTAAATGCTCTATGTGTATCTTCTCATGTAATCTACAAAATAACCTTTGAGGGAGATAATTTTATCATTCCCACAAGTAGAATAGAAGAGCATCCTGCCAAAAGTAGGACAATGTGGGTTCAAGTCACTGAATCTTCATAGGCATTAATTTCTTAGCTGATACGGGCATGAGAGCTAATCTACAGATGTGTGGCAGGAACTAAATGAGATGCAAGGGGTTGTGGAAGTGCTTTTCAAGCTAAGTTATTATGCAAGTGTTAGGAATGATAATCAATGTAGTTTATGTGTGTGTGAATGAGCAAGTGATCAGGTGCGTGTGTGTTTGAGAGAAAGGGTCCTCAACAGACTAGCAAATTGGCACCTTCATTTCATTATTGTATCCATCAATAATCATGATATGTGAACTAGATTTTCTATTTCAGATGATTCAATTGCCACAAACGAAAGGATTATATGCCAATAGGAAGAGAAAAGTGAAATAATGGGATCAGAAAAATGACAACGTTGAAATTAGCTGGGTGTGGTGGCATGCGCCTGTAGTCCCAGCTACTTGGGAGGCTGAAGTGGGAGGATTGCTTGAACCCAGGAAATCTAGGCTGCAGTGAGCTGAGATTGTGCCATTGCACTCCAGCTTGGGCTACAGAGTGAGACCCTCTCTAAAAAAAAAAAAAAAAGGAAAAATGACAAAGTGGAAAGGCATTTTATAATACAAAACATGATTTCTACTGTCCCCTTTTCCTTTTTCAAATAGTATTGGTAATTATCATTGTTATTATTCAAGGTAGAAAGTGATCATTTCTGCATTCTTTGGAGTAAACTGGTTCTTCTGCTGCTTGACAGTCAAAAATATGTTTGCTCAACAATACTCCACTCATACTCTTAAAAAATTATCTGATAAGAAGTCTTTCAAGTCTCACCAGTTCACTTTAAAATGACAAAACACCAGTCATGAAGTCGAATGGAGTTTCTCAGATTCATGTCATCATGATTGGTGGGATTCATGTCAGTGTTTTGTAAGAACTACAATAAGTTTCACTTCTATCATTTGGAGTGCTGGTTCACTGGGAAACATTTATAACTAATGCTGTTGTTCATAAACAGACTATGGAAGAAGAATGCAGCTCCAAATGGGAAATATGCTGAAAGCCTACCTGCATAAATTTGACTTAATATTACTAATTTGGGTGGATAGATCATTGTTCACAGGCTTGGGTGAGCAAAACCAGTGTCTTGGAGCTTGAATTATAGAGAGAGGAACACTGGCTTATTAGACAGGCTTCGAATGCAAATGGGACACAGAAATTTCCATAGGCTCTGTTCTGATAATTTTTAAAAAGACATTTTTGAGAGCCTTGGAGAAGGTATTGCATGGAGTAGTAATCTAATTGTAAAGTTTTCACTTCATCTAATAGCAACGATAATAAAATCTCAAGAACAATCTTTCAGGAAGCTTCAGGAGTGTTTAAAAGATTTGGCATAATTATCACCACAGTTTTGTCTTTAGGCATAGAAAAAAAAAGGAAGAATCTTCAGGTGATCTTGGAATGGCCTAAACATCATTCATTCATTTATTTATTCAAAGTACAGTCTTAGAGCAATCACTATATTCCAGATTCTGTGCAAAGACTGAATATAAACAAAACATAAAACATTTTTTTTAAGTTCTCATAGTGCTTACAGACCTGTGAATCATGATATTAGGAGAAATGGGCTCTTTCTCTTTTTTGGACAAAAGGTAATTCTTCACTCTTGACTGTATGTTGTTTATGACAGTTACAATTGGAGAATGGAAAGGAAATTAGGAATGATGGGTGTAAGGGGAGAAGAGATAGAAGAAAATAATAAAACAAGAAGGAAATCAAAGGCAATGTTATCATAGTTGCTTCAGGGAAACTATGCCTTGATCCAGAATTGAGGTACAGCTGCCCTAGAAGTGATCAGCTCAATAACTCTTGAACCTTTGTTTCATCTTCCCTAACCTCTAATTCTATCTCTTTAGAAGTTAACTTCCAAAAGCGAATGACTGCATGCAAACCCTTCTCAAGCACTGTTTGTTGAGGAATTCTAGCTTAAGACAAGTGCTATTCAGACAGTTTAGCTAAGGCTGGGTCCACATCCACTGGACCCTTTGCTTATTTAAACATACAGATGTTTAACTGGTACCATGACCCACATAGCTGTCTCTATGTGATGAGGTCTAGCCTTCTCTGAAAGTAGTTATAATTTTATTTTATCATATTTTATTTTATTTTACTGTTCAGTATGGTGCAGTAGACCAAGTCCTGAGCTGGCAAATATACAGATAATAAATGTTCAATATCATTACTCATTGGGGAAATTCAAATTAAAACCCCATGATATACCACTATACAATTGCTAAAAATGAATAAAATAAAATTTAAAATTCTGACAGTACCAAGTGCTTTTGAGAATGCAGAGCAGCTGCAACTCTTATATGCTGCTGATGGGAATGCAAAATGGCACAGCTACTTTGGAAAGCAGTCTGGTAATTTCTTAGAAAGCTAAACAGACATTTACCACATCATTCAATAATACACTCAATCAAAATATTCTTCAGTTAATGAATAGATTTTTAAAATGGTGGTACACCCATGCAATGAAGTACCATCCAGCAATGAATAGAAATGTATTACTGACACATGCAACAACATGGATGACTTTCAAATGAATTATGCTAAGTAAAAGAAGCCAGACTCAAAGGGTCATGCACTATATGATTCCATTTACATGATATTATCACAAAAGGTGAACGATAGAGGCAGAGAAGAGATTAGTAGTTTTCTGTGGCTGGAGGTGTGGGGAAGGGTTGATTACAAAATGGTATGGGGAAACTTTTTAGATGCTATAGCTATTCTATATCTTGATTATAGTGTTTGTTACGGCACTATATTTGTTAAAAACACATTGAAATTGACATTAAATTTGAATAAAATCGAATAAAAACACAACGTAAAAATTTATATTTTACATTACAGATGATTTAATTTTATTCTATGGACATTATACTTCTGTAAACCAGACTTGAATATAAAGATTATGTATCAGTCAACAAAAACATTTCTCAGAGTTGTATCTATTTTTAATCTTATCTGGGTTCCAAGAATATCATTTGTTCTTTTAAAAATATATATTTAATTGAAAAATAAAAATTGTATATATTGATCATGTTCAACATGTTTTGAAATATGTATACACTGTAAAATGGCTAAATTGAGCTAATTAATATGTGCAATATCTCACATACTTTTAATTGAGTTGTTTTTTTAGAGAAATGTAGAATGAAAGTCTAATATCTTCTAGAATTACTAATAAGGATTTCACTATTAATTAAAGTCAAAAATACACTCTGTGGGAGAGCAACAAAAATTCTCACTGAATGGAAAGAAAAAAGAAGTGAATATGTGGATACCTTTTACACAGACATCAAGTTGAAAAACTAAATAACAAATTGCTTTGATTTTCTTTCTGAAGACCTACTATTATAAAGAAAGAACAAATTTCAAAGTAGAAAAACAATATTCAGAACAACTGATAAAGAAAGGGGGAAATGGGGTTAATCAGCAATAAGCAAAGGTCTAAGCATGAAAAGTCAATTTGTTTTACAGAGACAGCAGTACTAATATGCTCTCTATATACAGTAGAAAAGGCAAGATGAAAAGCACACATCTTACTACTCCAGAGAGAACAGAATGAATGTAATTGACTTAACAATCCTCAAAATGACATGCAGAAATATTTAGCAGGACTCATTACATAAACTGAAAGAAGCCTTAAACCATATATTCACACTCAGTCCAATTACAATGAACAAATTTCCTAAATTAGCTGAATAGAAAATGAAACTATGTTACAAATCAATGGAAAATGAAACTCACTTTTCAGTTTAATTTATACATTTCCAGGTAATCTATAACTGTATAGATTACCTCAGATAGGTATAGGAATAATTACTCACATATGAAGAGTGATTTTAAAATATCATCCCTAGAAGGAAAAGTGAGTCTTTATATTTGTACAGAATGAAAAATATAAAGTTGATATAATGTCTTATAATCTATTGATATTCACATGCAGATGTTAAACTCATTTTAAAAACAAAATACTGCTTTGTTTAAGAAAATACCTACCTTTGTTCTTTCAGTACCATAAAAGCTATAATTTTATTTTCAATTCCAAAACAAAAACAATTTCAAAAACTTACATTTGTAGTTAAAAATCTTCTCATAATAGACATTTGAATTTGTGGCACTTACAGTCCACAAGTTGTCAAATGGAGCTGAGTGTCTTGCTGGAGCCAGCAATCTCAGGGTGAAGACTCTGAAGCCATGGGCTATTGCAGAAGTTAAGCCCCTGAAGTGCACATGGAAATCTGCTCACTGAATATTGGACTGCCACATGGCTGACTAGGGATGTTGTATGCCAGTTATTCTTTGAAGAAAGATCAAAGTTACTGGCAAATAATCATTTTGAGTGGAAAATGGAGGGAGGATAGCCAGAACCTGTCAGAGTGCCCACATGAAGAAGCTGGGGAGCTCAGAAAAAAAAGTAGCAAAAGTCTGGATGAGATTGACCCCTCAGCCAGAGCCCAGCAAAAAGGATGGATGGGAGTGCTTACCCCTCTGACAATCTGCTGACTGCAAAACTGATGGGGAGCCCCTCTGTCCCTACGACCAACAACAACGCTGTCAGTGTCAATGGCAATTAGAGATCTTCCTTAGAATAGAGAACTGGGTGGCCAGTTTGCACAGCCATGCAACACCCTCTCACACCCTGGTCAAGACAGTGGACACCATAATAGTTGTGCACCTGTGGCACCACTGTCTTACCTGGAGCTCCACTCTTGAACTGCAATACTACGAGACCTCCCACAGATAATCCCCATAACTCACTCTGACTTTGGCAAGCACAAGGAACTGGCAGATCTCCAGGAAGTTGTGGGTTTCTTGGAGAACTAACCCTCAGTGCATACCACCCCAGGGAAGTGGAGAGCACAGACTGCCAAAGCCTCCCCCAGGACAAAGGAAACACAAGTGCAAGTGCCAACCACTGAAGGGGGCACCACCAAAGGCTGGGAACAGACGGGGAGAGGGGTCATCTCTCACCCCTGCCCCTTCCCCAGTGGACTGTTACAGACATGACTATGGTTATTTCCAATGGAGCATGACGAGTGCACACTGGGCAAGGTTGCTTTCCCCACTTCTCCAATGACTTTATCCCTGCTGAAGGCAAGCACAAACTAAGGAGGGTTCTTTCTGCACTTAAGTAGCTCTACCCTAGGTGGGGATGAATTCATGCTGACAGCCTATAGCCTATCTACCAGCTCCTACACTTAAGTACCATCTACTGGACTGCAGCCTGAAGTATACCACCAAACAAAAATACATTGCTATGACATACAGCATCTGAAAAAGCAACTGCATGAACCTATTTGCAACCAAGGAACCCATACAGAACCCTGGTCCTCTGAGAGTATCCAGATATAACACCAATCAGTCATACACAACATATGCTACGGTCATACCCTCGATGGAAAAAAGAATAAAAAATTTAAAAGCCCTATCCAAGCAATAGCATATTCAAGAAAAGAAGCATCACTTCCCTCAGATAAGGATTCAGCACAAGATCTCTGGCAATACAAAAAGCCGGCATGTTTTGGCTCCTTCACAATGGATCCTAGCCAGAATAACATATCTAAAATGACATACATAGAATTCAGAATATGAGTGGCAAGGAAGCTCAATGAGATCCAAGAGAAAATTGAAATCCAATATAAAGAAGCCAGAAAAAAAATCTTAGATTTGAAAGACAACATAGTTATATTAACAACAACAACAAAAAAAAACCCACAAATTCTGGAGTTAAAAAATTTCCTAAAATAATGTCAAAGTATACTTGGAAGTCTTAACAACAGACAAGAATAAGCAGAAGAAATAATTTCAGAGCTTGAAGACTGGTCTTTCAAATTTACCCAGTCAGAAAAAAATAAAAAAGAATTAAAATAATAACCAATACCTTTGGGAAATATGAGATTCTGTAAAATGACCAAACCTATGATTTATTGGCATTCCTGAGAGAGAAGAAGAGAAAGTGAGTAACTTGGAAAACGAATTGAGGGTATAACTCAAGAAAATTTCCCCAATATTGCAAGAGACATTGGCATACAGATACAAAAAATTCATAGAACTCCTGTGAGATACTACATAAGACGACCATCCTCAAGGCATATAGTCAACAGAATACCCAAAGTCAACATGAAAGAATATCTTGAAGGTAAGGAGAGGAAAGGGTCCAGTTAATTACAAAGGGAATTCCATCAGACTAACAGCAGACTTCTCAGCAGAAACCTTACAAGCCAGAAGAGATTGGGGGCCTAGTTTTAGTCTTCTTAAAGAAAAGAAATGCCAGCCAAGAAATGCCAAACTAAGCTTTATAAACAAAGTAGAAATAAAGTCCTTCCCAGAGAAGCAAACACTGAGGGAATTAATCACCATCAGACTGATGTAAGAAGAAATGCTTAAGGAAGTTCTAAACATGGAAACAAAGGAACAATACTTGCTACCACAAAAGCATATGTAAGTACAAAGCCCACAGACCCTGTAAAGTAACTACACAATCAAGATTGCAAAGCAACTAACTAACATTATGACAAGAATGAAACCTCATATATCAATATTAACTTTGAAAGTAAACAGCCTAAATGCTCCACTTAAAAGACATAAAGTGGGCAGAGCACAGTGGCTCACACCTGTAATCCCAGCACTTGAGGAGGCCGAGGCAGGTAGATCATGAAGTCAGGAGATTGAGACCATCCTGGCCAACATGGTGAAACCCCATCTCTATTAAAAATACAAAAATTAGCTGGGCGTGGTGGCATGTGCCTGTAATCCCAGCTACTTGGGAGGCTGAGGCAGGATAATCACTTGAACCAGGGAGTCAGAGGTTGCAGTGACCCGAGATCGTGCCACTGCACTCCAGCCTGGCAACAGAGTGAGACTCAGTTTCAATAAAAGAAAAGAAATAAAGTGGCAAATTGAATAAAAAAAAAATTCATTCATCTGCTATTTTCAAGAGACCCACCTTACATGTAAATAACACCCATAGGCTCAAAGTAAAGGGACTAAGGAAGATTCATTCATGCAACAATAAAAAGCAGAAAAGAGCAGAGGTCATTATTCTTGTATCAGATAAAACAGACTTTAAACCAAAAACAGTAAGAAAAGACAAAGATTATTACATAATGATGAGGGTTTAATTCAACAAGAAGATTTAACTATCATAAATATATATACAACCAACATTAGAAAACTCAGACTTATAAAACAATTAGACTACTAGATACTAGTCTGGTAGTGTCTATCTAAGAAAAGAGATAGATGGCCACACAATAACAGTGGGGGACTGCAACACCCCATTGACAGCATTAGACAGATAATTGAGGCAGAAAATTAACAAAGAAATTCTGCACTTATATTCGACACTTAGCCAATTTGACCTAATAGACAGCTACAGAATACTCTACCCAACAACCATAGAATACACATTCTTCTCATCTGCCCATGGAACAGACTCTAAGTTCTACCACATGCTCTGGCATAAAACAAGTCTTCTTAAATTAAAAAAGAAATGAAATCATACCAAGCATTTTCTCAGACCACAGTGACACAGAAATAGAAATTAATTTGAAAAGGACCTCTCAAAAACCACACAAACATATGGAAACTAAACAATTTGTTCCTGAATGACTTTTGTGTAAACAATGAAATTAAGACCGAAATCAAAAGAAATTTTGAAACAAGTGAAAATAGAGACACAACATACCAAAACCTATGAGATGTGGTGAAAGCAACATTAAGAGGAAAGTTTATAGCACTAAACACATATATCAAAAAGATAGAAAATTCCCAAATTAACAAGGTAATGTCACACCTAAAAGACCTAGAAAATCAAGAACAAACTAGACCCAAAACTAGCAGAAGAAAAGAAATAACTACAATCGAGGAGAACTAAATGAAATTGAGACAAAATAAACTACTAAGGATCATTGAAACAAAAAATCGTTTTTGAAAGGATAAACAAGATTGATAGACCACTAGCTCAATTAACAAAGAAAGGAGGGAGAGAAGATCCAAATAAGCATAATCAGAAATGACAAAGGTGAATTACAACTGATTCCACTGAAATACAAAAGATCCTCAGAGACTCCTATGAACATCTCTAAGCGCACAAACTAGAAAACCTAAAGAAAATGGACACATTTCTGGAAACACACAACCTCTGAAGGTTGAAACAGGAAGAAACACAAATCCTGAAGAGACTAATAATGACTTATAAAATTGAATTAGTAATTTAGAAAATCTATCAAGCAAAAAGAAAGCCCTGAACCAGATGGATTCAAAGCCAAATTCTACCACACATACAAAGAAGAGCTGGTATCAATCCTACTGAAACTATCCCAAAAAAATCAGGATGAAGGGATTCCTCCATAACCCATTCTACAAATCCATTATCATCCTGACACCAAAATCTGGCAAGGGCACAATAAAAACGACAACTACAGGCCAATATCCCTGATAAACATAGACACAAAAATTTGCAACAAAATAATAGTAAACTGAATCCAGCAGCACATCACAAAGGTAATCCACCACAATTAAGTGAGCTTTATTCCTGGAATGCAAGGATAGTTCAGCATATGGATATTAATAAATGTGATTCATCACATAAATAATTAAAAACAAAAACCATATATGATCATCTCAATAGAGGCAGAAAAAGCATTGGTAAAATCCAACATCCCTTCTTAATAAAACCACCCAACAAACTAGGCATCAAAGGAACATATCTCAAAATAATAAGATCCATCTATAATAGACCACAGCCAACATCATACTGAATGGGCAAAAGTTGGAAGCATTCCCCCTAAGAACTAGAAGAACACAGGGATGACCACTCTCATCACTCCTATTCCATATAGTACTTGAAGACCTAGCCAGAGTGATCAGGCAAGAGAAAGAAATTAAAGGTATCCAAATAAAGAGAAAGTCAAATTATCTTTCTTCACTGCTGAGATCATTCTATACCTAGAAAACCCTAAAAACTCTGCCAAAATGCTCCTATAACTGATAAATGACTTCAGTAATGTTTCATGATACAAAATCGACGTGCAAAAATCAGTAGCATTTATATACGCCAATAGCATAAAGCTGAGAGTCAAATCAAGAACGCAATCCCATTTACAATAGCCAAAAGAAGAAATAAAATGCCTCAGGATATATTTAACCAAAGAAATGAAAGATCTCTACAAGGAGAACTACATATGCTGCTGAAAGAAATCAAAGATGATGCCAAAAATAGAAAAATATTTCATGCTCATGGGTTAGAAGAATCTATATCACTAAAATGGCTATAGTGCCCAAAGCAGTTTACAGATTCAATGCTATTCCTATCAAAGTACCAATGTCATTTTTTTCACAGAAATAGAAAAAACTATTCTAAAATTCATATGGAACCAAAAAAGAGCCTGAATAAACAAAGCAATCCTAAGCAAAAAGAACAAAGCTGGAGGAATCACATTACCTATCTTCAAACTATACTACCAGGCTACAGTGTACAAAACAGCATGGTACTGGTACAAAAACAGACACATAGACCAATGGAAGAGAATAGAAAACCCAGAAATAAAACCACACACCTACAACAAACTGACCTCTAGCAAACTCAACAAAAATAAGCAATAGGGAAAAGACTCCCCTATTCAGTAAATAGTGTTGGGACAACTGGCTGTACATTTGCAGGAGAATGAAACTGGAGCCCTACCTATTGCTGCATGCAAAAAATAATGCAAGATGCATTAAAGACTTAAATGTAGGACCTCAAACTATAACAATCCTAGAAGAAAACCTAGGAAATACCCTTCTCTATGTCAGCATTCACAAATAATTTATGGCTAAGTCCTCAAAAGCAATTGCAACACAAATAAAATTTACCAAGAGGGACCTAATTAAACTAAAGAGCTTCTGCACAACAACAACAACAACAACAACAACAACAACAAAGATCAAGGGAGTAAACAGACAACCTACAGAATGAAAGAAAATATTCACAAACTATGCATCTGACCAAGTTTTAATATCAACAATTTACAAGGAAATTAAACAAATATATAAGCAAAAAACAAATAACCCCATTAAAAAGTAGGCGAAGGACATGAACAGATACTTCTCAAAAAAAGACATATATGTGGCCAAAATCATATGCAAAAGTGCTCATCATCACTAATCATCAGAGAAGTGCAAATTAAAACCACAATGAGATACTATCTCCCACCAGTCAGGATGGGTATGTTAAAAAGCAAGCAAGCAAACAAACAAACAAATAGACAATAACAACAAAAAACAAAGAAACAGATATTGGCAAGACTGCTGAGAAAACAGACACAAAAATGGTTGGTGGGAAGGTAAGTTAGTCTAGCCATTATGGAGAAGAGTTTGGAGATTCCTCAAAGAACTAAGAGTTGAACTACCATTCAACCCAGCAATCCCATTACTGGGTATACGCCCAAAGGAAAAGAAATCATTCTACCCAAAAGACACATGTACTCATATGTTCATTCCAGCAGTATTCACAATAGCAAAAACATGGAATCAACCCAGGTGCCAATCAATGGTAGATTGGATAAAGAAAATGTGGTACATGTATGCTATGGAACACTATGCCACTATATAAAAGAAAAAAATCATGTTCTTTGTAGCAACATGAATGCAGCTGGAAGCTGTTTTCCTAAGCGAATTAACACAAGAACAGAAAACCAAATACCACATATTCTCACTTATAAGTGGGGGCTAAACATAGGGTAGACATGGACATAAAGATGGGAACAATAGACACTGGGGACTACTAGGTTGGGGAGAGAAGAAGTGGAGACGATTGCTGAAAAACTACCTATTGTGTACTATGCTCACTACCTGGGTGATGGGTTCGATCATACCCCAAATCTCAGCATCATGCAATATACTTTTGTAACAAACCCGCACATGTACCCCCTGATTCTAAAATCAAAGTTAAAAAAAAAAAGAACACAATTCTAAGAAGTATGCATAGCCTTACTTAGATTTTAAGGTATTATGAATCAGAAAACGTTAAGAACCATTGCTCTAAAATAAATACAAGTACATAATTTTAACATGGTGAATGTTAAATGCTCTCACCTCAGTGGATATAATGTTTAGCTGATTAGCTGGTTTAAACTTTTTTATTTTATTTTACTTTATTTTTATTTTTATTTTTTTTTTTGAGACGGAGTCTCGCTCTGTCGCCCAGGCTGGAGTGCAGTGACGCGATCTCCGCTCACTGCAAGCTCCGCCTCCCGGGTTCACGCCATTCTCCTGCCTCAGCCTCCCAAGTAGCTGGGACTACAGGCGCCCGCCGCCATGCCTGGCTAATTTTTTGTATTTTTAGTAGAGACGGGGTTTCACTGTGTTAGCCAGGATGGTCTCGATCTCCTGACCTCGTGATCCGCCTGCCTCGGCCTACCAAAGTGCTGGGATTACAGGCTTGAGCCACCGCGCCCAGCCCTTTTTTATTTTTAAAAAATAAGAATTATGAGTATGAGACTAATACTTGTTAGTATGCATTTGGACACCGAAAAATACAGTGTGTTTCTGTCATACAACCTTCTTTCCCAGAACTTAATCAGGCATTATTGCTAAAAATAAAGCAAAAACACACTACACAATAAATCAAGAACATCCACATTGGGATGTGTATCTTCCAGGCAATTAACAATACATATCTGTGTTTCAAACTTTTCATTTTGAAATAATTATAGATTCACAAGAGTTGCGAAAAAAACTGCAGAGGTAGATCCCATGTATTCTTCACCCAGTTTCCACCAACATGAACATCTTGCTTAAAAACAGTACAATATCTAAACCAGGAAATTGACATTGGTACAGTCCACAGAGCTTATTTAGATTTCATCATTTTGCATATTTATTTGTATATGTGTAGTTTCTATGCAATTTTATCCGTGTGTAGATTTGTATAACTACTACCACACATGAAGAGTTCCATCACCACAAGGCTCCTTGACGCTATCCTTTTATAGGCACACCACCCACCACCATCTCTAATTCCTAGTAGCCACCAATCTGTTCTCCATCTTTATAATTTTGTTATATCAAGAAAATTTTATAAATGGAATTACATAGTATGTAACCTTCTGAGATGGGCTTTTTTCCCCCTGAGATCCATTCTAGTTGTTGCATCAATATTTTTTTTCTTTTTGTTGCTGCACAGTATTCCATGGTATGAATATACAACTATAACATTAACCTGTGGAGGAATACTTGAGTTGTTTCTAGTTTATGGCTGTTACCAAAGAAAAAATAAAACTACTATGAACATCTATGTTAATATATATATGTACGTTACATATAGAGAATATATATATATATATATATATACACACACACACACACACAAAGTCTTACATGTAAATGCTGATATCAGATGCATTCATAATAGTAAAAAACTCAATACAAACCAAATATCCATCAACTAGATTACAGATGAACAGTAGTGGAATATCCACACCCATACAATAAAGTATTATTCAGCAATTAAAATGAACTACTGATGCTTGCAATGCCATGGATGAATCTCAAAGCATTATATTAAATAGAGTTACAAATGAGTACCTACTTCCAGGATAGGCCATGTGCCATGTCATATGGTATAGTTTGGATATTTGTCCCTGCCCAAATCTCATGCTGAAATATAATCCTCAATCGTGGAGGTGGGACCTGGTGGAAAGTGATTGGATCATGAGGGCAGATCCCTCATAGATGGGTTGGGCCATCCCCTTAGTGATATATGAGCTCTCGTTCTGAGTTTACATGAGATCTGGTCATTTAAAAGTGTGTGGCACCTCTCCACTCCACACACACTCTCTCTCACTTTTGTTCCTGCCATATGAGATGCCTGCTCCCCCATCACCTTCCACCATGATTGTAAGATTCCTGAAGCCTCCCCAGAAGCAGCTGCTAGTTCTATGCTTCCTGTACAGCCTGCAGAACTAGAAGCCAATTAAACCTATTTTCTTATTAATTACCCAGTCTCAGGTATTTGTTTACAGGAATACGAGAATGGCCTAATACACCATACAACAAACCTAAATAAATGTTTTAAAATAAAAGTATCACAAAAATATTCTCCAACCACAATGAAATAAAACTAGAGATTGATAGCAAGAAAAATCCCTAAATTTGTGAAAGTTAAATAACACACTCCCAAATAACCTGTGGAGCAAAAAAGAAATCAAAAAGGAAACCATAAGATATTTTGAAATAAATTAAAATGAAAATACTACATATCAACACTAGTAGAATGCTGCCAATAAAATGCTTAGAGGAAAATGCATAGTTATAAATTTCTACATTAGGAAAGAAGATCTCAAATCAATAACCCAACCTTCCATTTTACGATACTGAAAAAAGAAGAGCAAGACAAACCTAAAGCAAGCAGAAGAAAGGAAATAACAAAGATTAGGGTAGAAATACAGAATAGAAACGTAATAGAGAAGACCAATAAAAACAAACAAAAAAAAGTTTCTTTGACAAAGTCAACCAAATTGACAAACCCTTAGTTAGATTGACCATTATAAAAAGAGAGGAGATTCGAATTGCCAGAATCAGAAATAAAAGATGAAACATTACCACAACCTTACAGAAATATAAATGATTATAAAGGAATTCCATAAACAATTGTAAGCCAAAAATTGGAAAATTTAGATGAAATGGACAAATTTCTACAAAGACACAAACTATCAAAACTGGCTTGAAAAGAAGTAAGCCATTTTACTAGACCTGTAACAAGTAGGAAGGTTGAATTACTAATTAAAAGACTACCCACAAAGAAAAGACCAGACCCAGATTATCTCACTGCTGACTTCTACCAAACATTCAAAGAAGAATGCCAATTCTTCGAAAACTCTTCCAAAAAATTGAAAAGGAGTGAACACCTTTCAAATTGCTTTATGAGGCCAGTTATTATCCTGATACCAAAAACAGACAAGACATCACAAGAAAAGAAAACTATAGACCAATATCTTTATAGACATGGATGCAAAATCTTTAACAAATTACCAGTGAACTGAACCCAGCAGTATATATATATTTATGATTTATATAAATTATATATCCAAATTAACTGAGGTTTATTCTAAGAATGCAAGGTTGGTTTAATATCAGAAAATCAATTAATATAATAGGATCAACGGAAGTTTTAAAAATTACACGATCATATCAGTAATGCAGAAAAAGCATTTGACACAATCCAAAACCCTTTTATGATTAAAAAAAAAACACCCAAAAATCTAGGAATAGACATGAACTTCTTCAACCAGATAAAAGACATTTATAAAAAACCCACAACAAATCTATGCCTAATGGTACAAAACTAAATACTTCCTCCTAAGAGCAGGAACAAGACAAAGATATCCATTCTCACTTCTATTCAACATTATACTGAAGGGACTAGTAAGGAAAATTAGGCAAAAAAGAAAGAAAGAGAGAGAGAAGGAAAGAGAGAGAAGGAAGGAAGGAAGGAAGGGAGGAAGGAAAGAAGGGAGGAAGGAAAGAAGGAAGGAAGGAAAAATTAAAAATAAAATGTATCTGGATTGGAAAGGAAGAAGTAAAGCAATCTATATTTGTAGAAGATATGATCTTGTATGTAGAAAATCCTAAGAAATCCATTAAAAAATATTAGATCTAATAAAAGAGTTCAGCAAGGTTGCAGGATACAAGACCATTACATAAAAATCAATGTATTTCTATTCAATTGCAATGAACTAACTGAAAATAAAATTAAGAAAACAATTCCATTTACAATAACATTGAAAATATTTAGGAATAAATTTGAAAAAGCAGTGCAAAACATATACTCTGAAAACTACAAAAATTGTTGAAAGAAATTAAATAAGATCAAATAGCTGAGAAAACATTCCATTTTAGATGGGAAGATGTAACATTGTTAAGATAGCAATACTTGCCAAACTAATCAACAGATTTATCTTACTTCTCATCAAAATCTCAGCTGACTTTGTAGAAATTGGCAAGCTTACTCTAAATTCATATGGAATTGAACAGGAAAGAGAATAGCCAAAACAATCTTAAAAAAGAACAAAGTTGGAGGACACACTCCCAATTTCAATCCTTACTACAAATCAACAGTAATGAGGACAGTGTGGTACTGGCATAAGGATAGACATGTAGATTTATGGAATAGAATTGAGAGTACAGAAATAAAGCCTACATTTCTAGTTAACTGTTTTTAGACAATGATGTCAAGACTATTCAATATGGAAAGAATAGTCTTTAAAACAAATGGTGCTGAGACAACTGCGCCACTTCATGCAAAAGAATGAAATTAGACCCTATGCAAACTTTCCTTACACAAAATTAACTCAAAACAGATCAAAGCACTAAATGTAAGAGCTAAAATTATAAAATGCTCAGAGGAAAATATAGGTAAAACTATCACCTGGATTTAGCAAAGGATTCGTATAAATGACACTACATGCATGTGCACCTCGTAGAAATGACACTAAAAGCATGAGCAACAAATAAAAAAATAGGTAAAATGACTTCATCAAAATTCAAAATTTGTTTCAAAGGATGCCATCAAGGAAGTGAAAAAAAATAATCCACAGAATGGGAGAAAAATTTTGAAAATCGTGTATCTCATTTGCATCTAGGAATTTGCATCTAATCTAATACAAGGAACTTGTATCTAGTATACAAAACAAACACTTACAATTCAATAAAAAATACTAATAATTTTTAAATGGGCAAGGGATATGAACAGACATTTCTGTAAAAAAGATACAAATGGTCAGAAAGCATGTAAAAAGTTGCTCAACATCCTTAGTGATCAGAAAAATGCAAATCAAAACCGCAATGAGATAAAACCAAAGAAAATGAGTAGAATCAAAAAGTCAGATAATAATAGGTGTTAGCAAGAACGTGGAGAAATCAGAACCCTCATACACCACAGGTTGGAATGTAAAATGATGCCAATGCTTAGGAAAACAGCCTAGTAGTTTATCAAATAATTAAAAATAGAGTTACCCTATGACCCAGAAATTCTACTTCATCTAGGAGAAACAAAAATATATGTCCATACTTTTACACAAATGTTCATGGTAATATATTCATAACAGCCAAAAGGTAGAAACAGCTCAAATGTCTATCAACTGATGAATGTATTTAATATCAACCAAATGTACTATATATATATGTAATGGAATGTTATTCAGCCATAGAAAGGAATGAAGTGCTGACCCATGCTACAACATGAATGAGCCTTGAAAACATTATGCTAACTGAAAAAAAGACAGGCACAAAAGACAACATGTTATATGCTTCCATTCATATGAAATGTCCAGAACAGGAAAATCTATACAGAAAGTAGATTAGTGATTGCTCAGGACCGTGGGGATAGGGAGGTAGGGGAATGTTATCTAAAAGGTATGAGATTTATTTTTGAGGTAATGAAAATGTTCTAAAATTGACTGAGGTGATTGTTGCACATATCACTGAATATACTAAAAACCATTGAATTGCACACTTTAAACGGTGAATTGTATAGTATGTGAATTATAGTTCAATGAAGCTGTTACAATTTTATTAAAAGAATACCTACTGTATGTTTCCATTTATACGAAATTCTAGAAGAGGCGATATTATAATGACAATAATTAAGTAGATCAGACATCATCATGGACCATGTATTAGTCTA
Organism: Homo sapiens; assembly: GCF_000001405.40. NCBI lineage: Eukaryota > Metazoa > Chordata > Mammalia > Primates > Hominidae > Homo > Homo sapiens. Next base: position 67,347,885 of record NC_000003.12, read on the forward strand.
ATTCTCATGGTGCTATTAAAGACGTATCCGAGACTCGGTAATTTATAAAGAAAAGAGGTTTAACTGAGTCACAGTCCCATATGGCTGGGGAGGCCTTACAATCACGGTGGAAGGCCAAGGAGAAGCAAATTCAGGTCTTACATGATGGCAGGCAAGAGAGTCTTCGCAGGGGAACTCCCATTTATAAAATCATCAGATCTCGTGAGACTTATTTACTGCCACGAGAACAGTATGGGGGAAACTGCCCCCATATCCAAACCACATCAGACCAGGACTGGGGAGAGGGATGGACTGCAGAAAGGCCCAAGAAGAATTTTCAAGTTTATGGAATTATTCTACGTCATGATTCTGTGGTGGTCATGTTACAGTATACATTGTCAAAACATCATTTGTTCATTTAAAATTAAGGACTTTTAATATATTGAAATTATATCTCAAGGCTGATTTTCAAGATAAAAATTTATTTTCAATACCAAGTGATGTGAGATTTTGTTAGGTCATGAATTTTCTAGGCAAAATACCAATGCCAAGTGACAGCACAAATATTTTGATAGCCTTGGTAAACACTAAATACTTTACTATATCCAGTTTTTTTACAAAAGCAGATTTTTACACATCATTGCAAAGTATTCTTCCATTAGGTGGTCAGACATTGACACATTTGGTCATAAATGGGTCCCAAAACACATATCTAGCTTTGAGATAAAGACCTTTAGTTATATGATAGAATCTATAAAGTGGAAATCATATATGGATACAAAGCAGTATTCTTCCCTAAATAGTTATTCAGAAAACAGAGTTTCTTCATATGCAAGTCTTTATATGTTTTCTCATTACAGAGTACTTTCTCAAATACTTTATTTTGAACTTGTCAAAATTGAGTCTTTAAAAAAATAGAAATAAATTTAACACAGATTTGGTGTTTTTCCTGGAGAAATGATCTCATTATGGCAAGATTGGATGTCATTGTAAACAAGTCTTTTAAAGAGCAATCCAGAAAGTGATTACACTGGGGAGATCCGGAATACAAACCTACAGGATAAATGGTGGACCTCATTTACTTGTATGCTCTAGTAAAATTAATATACCAAAGCTGAATGGGGTTGAATTTTAATAAGCTAATGTTTGGGGTCCATGTGCAATGATTCTGGTTGTTAATTGTTAGTAGGTGAATGCACAGTCATGTTCTCTGGGCCTAATCTACTGGTCTTGCTCTACCTTGGGAGAGAAGGGTCAACCAGTCAAGGGATATGCTGAAACAAAATAGGAAGCTACATCTGTTATGGATCTGTTATGTCTTGAGACCAAGACATCTGCCCATCAGAGCTGTGGCCAATTTCACCGTTAGTGGATGTGCAAGTTTCGCTAGGAACACACTGAAAAGTCAAAAACAGCCCATTAGTTTCCCAGAGAATGAATAACAAGCATAATGATAATGCTCAATTTTAAAGGGGGTGGTTTCACATACCTCAAATATTTCCATGACAGAGGCCAAATAGCATAATGTTTGAGAACATGGACTGTGAAACCAGACAGCATGGCTTTGCATCTTGAATCTACCATTTATAAATCACTAACCTTTCTGTGCCTCAGTTTCCTCTTCTGCAAAACAAGGATATTAGTAACACTTAATATCTACTGGGTTGATGCATGGGTTGAATAAGTTAGTAGATGTAAAGTGCTCAGAACAGTACCAAGCAGCATTTAAGTTTCATTTATCACTTGAGGTAGGATAGGCAAATGTCATTATCCCCTTTTCACAGATGGGAAAAAGGCTTAGAAAGTGTGAGTGAATCACACAGCCAACCAGTGGCTGAGTCCTAACCAAACTGTTCAACTTCTGACTCTAGTGTTCTACCCTGTCAGTCACACATCCTGATATGGTTTGGATCTGTGTGCCCACTCAAATTTCATGTTGAATTTTAATCCCCAGTGTTGGAGGTGGGGCCTGGTGGGAGGTGACTGGTTCATGGGGATGGTTTCTCATGGCTTAGCACCATCCCATTTTATACTGTCCTTGCAATGATGAGTGAATTCTTGTGAGATCTGGTTCTTTAAAAGTGTGTAGCACACAGAGAGGGGAACAACACACACCAGGGCCTGTTAGGGGGTAGGAAGTGAGAGAAGGGAACTTAAAGGATGGGTTAATAGGTGCAGAAAACCACCATGGTTAATAGGTTAACAGGTGCAGAAAACCACCTTATACCTGTGTAACAAACCTGCATGTTCTGCACATGTATCCTGTTTTTTTTTTTTTGTAGAAGAAATAAAAAAAATCACATTATGCACTGAAAAAAAGGGGGTAGCACCTCCCCCATCTTTCTCTTGCTTCTGCTCCTACCATATGGGACATCTCGTGCCCCCTTTTCCACCATGATTGGAAACTTCCTGAGGCCTCCCCAGAAGCAGAAGCTACTATTCCTCCTGTACAGCCTGCATAACCATGAGCCACTCTTTTCTTTATAAATTACCCACTCCCAGTTATTTCTTTATAGCAGTGCAAGAATAGACTAATACACATCCTTAAATTCAGAAGCAAAGATGAGCCTGTCTCATTCAACGGTAAGAAAACCAATTAGCAAGGATCCATTCACTTTCTCACTGGGACACTTTAGAAACTGCAAAAACTTGCATAGGCCATTACATCAGTGCTTTTCAAAACGCCGTCAGAGGGTCACATATTCAGTTCAGTGGGTTGCAACTTTTAAAAAAAGTAAAACACAGTAGAATAGGAAATATAATGCATCAAAAATTGTAAGGGTAATTACTGTATTGTGATATGTTGGTTTAAATACATACATTCTGTACTCATGTGCACATATGCATGTGATAGACAGTATTATTTCCCACAATTATTCACCCCCTGGGCCACCTGCCCTTCCTTGTTGGAGAATTATGCCAGTCATTGTACTCTGTTGCTAGCTCACTTGCAGGGTTCCTGTGACCGTGGTGTGCTTCCCCACCATATTGACATTTGAGACTCACTAGAGTCAATGGAGTGTAAGCATGTGACATATACCAAGCCTGAGCAGTAGTGTTTAGAGCAATTATATAGGTTGGCTCAGTGCTTTACTCTTTCCCTTCGCCAGAAGCTCATCTTAGGATGGGGTTGCTGCCTTACGCAGAGTTCTGGAATGACAAACAACTTGGAACAGTGTTGTGGCCCTTCTACAGACTAGAAGAGAGAGTTACAGCCTAGATCAGAGCCACCACTGATGAACAGCCTGCATGTACATAATGAGGAATTAACCTTTGTTTTGATACCCCTGAGATTTTCAGTTGTTTGTTACCATAACATAACTTGGCCAAAGATGACTAACAGGTATGTTTATGTGTATTGGATTGATGAGATAAATGTATTTCTTACTGAGGAAGGTGGTCAAAAAATTTGAAAATCACTTGATTAAATAACTGTCTCAGTCAGTTTGGGCTGCTATAACAGAATCTCATAGACTAGGTGACTGAAACAATGAACATTTACTTCTTCCAGTTCTGAAGGTTGGAAGTCTGAGATCAGGGTGCCAGCAGGATTGGGTCCTTGGTGAAGGCCATCTTCCTGGTTTACAAATGTTCGTTTTTTTGTTGTAGCCTCACACGGTGGAGAGAGTGTGAGCTCTGGTCTCTATATTCCTTCATAAGGGCACTAATAACATTCATGAGGGCTCCCCACTCATGGCCTAATTACTTCTAAAATTTCCACCTCCAAATGCCCTCATATTGGGGATTTAGGCTGTAGAATTTAATTTGCGGGGACACAAACATTCAGTCTATAGAAATGACCATTTAGAAACTTGATTCTTTAAGACCAGCCTGGCCAACATGGTGAAATGCCGTCCCCACTAAAAATACAAAAATTAGCTGGGCATGGTGGCATGTGCCTGTAATCCCAACTACTCCGGTGGCTGAGGCATAAGAATCCCTTGAACTCGGGAGGCGGAGGTTGCAGTGAGCTGAGATAGCATCACTGCACTCCAGCCTTGGCAATAGAGTGAGAGTCTGTCTCAAAAAGAAAGAAACTTGGTTCTTTAAAACATTAGTTTAGTTCACTTGACACACTTAGGTATTTCTCTAGATTTCCCATTTGTTTATATTAGTTTGAAAATGCTTCACTTGTATTTTTATTTTTGTCTGCTTTTCATAGGACACACTTTAATTCCTTCTATCATATAAGAATTAGACCAATATTTTTTCAAATTATGGCATCTGTATATCAATTAACAGATTTTCAGACATGTGCACTGCCTTACATAGAAAATGAAAGAATGCAATAGCATTTATTATTTAGTGGTAATAATAATTACATGTTAATGAGAGAGATTGTTTTGTAATATACTAATAATATAAACTAATATCATAAATGAAGTAAGGTACAGAACGACATCTGGGTCAAATGTAGATCCAGATTACGAAGACCATGCCAGCTCATTATCTGACACTGAAGATAATAATCATACCACATAACACACTCAAATGTTGGAACTTGAAGGATCAAAGTGAATGGAATCCTAATCACCTCTGGTTGTCTTCAGCTCTGGAAAGTACTTTTTCTTTTGCTGTTGCAGTTTTTGGATGGGTGTTTAATCATACCAAAAAACATGTCAATGATTTCTTTCACAGTTGAGCGGGAGTGAGGGAAACACAAAGCATTTGAAATGAATTCAACTTGCAAAGACTGAGGTGTTTGTACCACAATTTGTTCTTAAAAAATCCTGGTGTCTTGTCTCCAACAATAAAAAAATAATGACAATGCTTCCTTGAAGGGATAGGTGCATGCACTCAAAACTGAATAAATCACTGAAATCTGCCACTTGAGCAAACCATCTGAAATGATAGAAACAGTCTCTACTGGCATCATCATTGTAATGAAGAAATGTGATTTTTAAATCCCATCTTTCATCTTCAAGGTTCACTTAAGCATCTTATTCCATAACAGAAGTGTGAAAACGTAGAGTTTTGAAACTGCTACATATACTTTTTTACAGTATTCTGTTAAGAGTTAAAATCAATAGCCATAATTTATTAATATTCATAGTTTTTACTATTTCTTGAATATTAAACCAAGATCTGGAGACATACTATTTTCTATAAATAGTGATATTAGATTGATAATCAGGCACAACTTCTTTAATTCAAAATCCTTCAATGCTTCATATGTAGTTGCTGCTCCTTTGCTACTGATTACAACATACGTTTTCTATTCCACCTCATAGTTTTCTAATGACCATCAAACAAAATATCTCATCTGCAGAATAGATGCTCAATGGTAAAGAAAACAGAAACTCATCTAGCACCTCCCTCTCTTAGTTATGCCATGCATAGGCTAAGAAACTTTGACATGGTATCCAATTGTGATGCAAAGCACCTGCGTACTCACACAACGTGCTTTCTTCTCCCTGATGCCACTTGCATTATATAATGACCATCAGCATCACCTGATGAAGGAAATTTGCTGAAGGGTCACTCGGCTTTCTCTCCAAGTATGTTGCTAATTCTGCTACCTTTGCCCTGAGGATGCAACCCTGCATGATGCTTTTGTTTTGTTCCCTTCTCTGTCCTTATCAAAACAATTCATCAATTTTGTATTGGAAACTTTATTTTGCATTTCCCATTCTGAGAAAAAACAATTAGTTTACCAGTTAAAATTTGAAGAAGATAAAAAACATAAATATTTTACAACATTATTGAATTTTAAAAGTTGATAAGGCTCTGAGAATTGGACTATCTATAGGTCCCATACAATCCAACTTTTAGATGTTCATCATTATACTTTTTAGACATATTTTGCTGTTTTGTTGACTTCCACCTAACTTTGTATGTCCTAGGAAACACAGATTTGGATTTAGTCTTTATGCTTACAATTTCATCTTAAGCTAAAGTAAATAATAAAAAGTAAATCATTTTACTTGTTTCATCACTACTTTTAAGCTTGAACCATTTCCAGCCATTTATTTATTTTAGTCAATTGGTAGAATAACATAACAGCAAAAAATGCCCATGTAATAAATAATAGCACAATGTCATAAAATTAGTTGAGATGAACTGTACCTTGTTATCTACTTGGAAGAGCATTAAAAAATGCTTTTATGAGGCTATTAAATGACACTTCACCACTGGTTAATTCCTGAATATGGGGGTCATTGACTAGTGTTCTCATTTACCTTTCCAATTCAGGCCTTCTTCAAAAAGTCACCATTCTTTCTTAGAAAGAGATATTAATACAGCCTCTATTCATATTAACCCCACCATGTTATCATCATTCTTCTGATTCAAAATTAATAAATACTGAGAAACAAATTTTCCTCTATCAAAGGGACAGTTTTACTTTTTACTTGTTTCTGTATTCAGTCCAATCAATAACATTTTTAAGTTGTTGGTGGATATTCTGAATATTGTAATTTTTATCATTTTTAAAGGGGCAATTTTGTAAAATGACAAGACCATAAAGGGCTACCTTTGCATGTTCTCTGCTATAGAAAATCAGATGCACTTGTTTTTAGAGAAGAAAAAAAATCATTGTTGACAAAACTCCTGTACAAAGATCTCTAATGCCTTTGGCCAGTAGTCGTCATACCAGATGCAGTCTTTTTAATGTGGACCTTTTTGGTTTAGTCCTTCTTAATCTTTTAATACAATGATGATTAGATTAAATGGGAATGTATATTGAATAAAAATTTGCTAGCAAATATTTTTACTATAACACATTATTATATGAGATATTTTAATCAGCTGTTAAAATTTGATACATGTTGATATTTTCAGTATTTATATGGCTAATATAGCTACCTAGAGCATCCAACAATGTGTAATTAAAAATATTTATCATTACCAGAAATACAAAAGAAGTTGTGGTTAAAACTTAGGCTTTGATGTCATTCTGAACTGGGTTAAAACCTTGTGTTCTCACAAACGATGTGATCTTGATCAAGCAACAACTTCTCGAAATCTGTTTCTTTATTACTACTCAGTTGCAAGCCACATAAGGGTAAGGACCTTATCTACTGAGCTAATATTTTATCACCAACATTTAACACACTGCCTTGAATATGGTAGTCAATTAATAAATATTGAATGACTGAAATAATACATTGAATAATGGGGGCAGTAATATAATTTACCTCATAGGGTAGATGCGAACGTGAAATAAGATTAGGCATGTACAGATCCAGAAGAGAAACATGATTAACTAGCTATTATTAGGGTGACCATATAATTTGACATACATATCGGGACACTTCAGAATAACAGAGGGTGCCATTAATAGTTACATGGGGGCAAAAGATGTGAACTAAGGCCATCCAAGTCAAACTAAGGTATGTAGTCACCCCAGCTCTGGCAAATATTATTAGGCAATATAGGAAACCAAGGATAGAAGGAAATGTGTAATTGTAGATACGTAACATATAATTATTTGACAATGGTTGCAATGTAGACAAATAAAACCACAGCAATAGTGTCTAACCTGGCAAAAACTGCCCCCACCTACCTGCTCGAAGCATTAGAGAGAAGGAACAGTAGAAAAATGACGTTTCCTGAGTCCAAATTTCCACATTGGGTTTTTCAGATTCGTTTAACTTACCAAGTTGAATTAGATTAATAATTCTCTTTCAAGATTCCTTGTCAAATCTCTCACAGTGATTGTTTTTCACCTCTCATATTTCTGGCCCCGCCCTGTCTGAGTGGAATGTTTCAACTTCTAATTCGACAATTTACATATTGACCTGTTTCCTGGCCAATGTTTGTTCTTCCTCAGGATATCTCTGTACTATTACCTGTTCTCTCTTCCACCTCTTCTGTCTATAAAAAAGATACATCTTTCCTTTAGGCTATGGCCCTTCACCTCACAGACACTTTACGTATGTATGTATGTATGTATGTATGTACGTATGTATCTATGTATTTGAGACAGGTTCTTACTCTGTCCTCCAGGCTGGAGTGCAGTGGTGCAATCTCGGCTCACTGCAGCCTTGACCTCCTGACTCAAGTGATCCTCCCACCTCAGCCTCCCGAGTAGCTGGGACCACAGGTGCTCACCATCATACCCAGCTATTTTTTTGTATTTTTAGTAAAGATGGGGTTTTGCCACGTTGCCCAGGCTGGGACACTCTTCTCATCATAGCCTCCAAGATGTTGTTCTTTTTTTTTTTTTTTGAGATGGAGTCTTGCTATGTCACCCAGGCTGAAGTGCAGTGGTGCGATCTCGGCTCACTGCAGCCTCTGCCTCCTCTGCCTCCCGGGTTCCAGGGATTCTCCTGCCTCAGCCACCTGGGTAGCTGAGATTACAGGCATATGCCACCACGCCTGGCTAATTTTTGTATTTTTAGTAGAGATGGGGTTTCGCCATGTTGGCCAGGCTGGTCTCGAACTCTTGATCTCAGGTGATCCACCCGCCTTGGCCTCCCATAGTGCTGGGATTACAGGCATGAGCCACTGCGCCTGACCCAAGATGTTCTTCTATCAGTTTTTCACTCTCTTCTTATTGGTGTCTTCAATATCTCCTTCCTGATAAGATTCAGAAATCTGGATCTTATGCTCTGGAATCATAAACATTTATGTTCTAATTCTGGGTTTTCGATCTCTGTGTGATCTTAGGAAAGCTGGTTAACATCATTGAGCCTCAGTTTCTTCATGGTAAAGTGGTAATTGTAATGCCTAGCTCAAAGAATAGCAAGGAGGATTAAATGAGATAATGTATATAAAATGTCTAGGAGACTTCTGGGCAAGACATTGGCACCTTAGATTCAAACACTGGTGCACATCCTCTCCTCTAAGCAAATAATAAGGGTAGGCAGAACCTTAAAAGAGAAAAGTAATAACATATGTGGAGGCTAAAAAATAAGATAAATCTATCTGGAACCAAAAACTGAACAGAAATACAAAGTCATAAAAGGAGCTGAAAATGGAGGCCTGTTGGACTCTGTTTCCGAAATAGGCAGTGGCTACCAAGAGCTAGGCTTCTATGTGTCAACAAGGACCAAAGGAAAGGCACACAAGCGAGGCAACTGGAATCAGGAGTGACAGGGATCCAGTGTCTGGGGAGAAACTTTTCCATCCCATTGGCAGCACCATTTTCCTTTTTCAACTACAGGCTGCAGTTGTTTTCCACACACTCCCATCTTAAGGCGCCTGTAAGTGCCGTGTTCATAATTCAGTTTCTATTTCCCTTCCCATACCGCTACACTTTTATTGAATGTACATTTTGCATTCCTGTGAAAAACTCACAGTGATTTATACTGATATCCCAGTGGAGCAGGAACCTCAAGGTGACATTATAAGGACTCAGGGTCCAGCTGCTGAATGTAGACAACTGAAAGAGGGAGCAAGAGGAGGGAAAAGAGGGAAGGAGAGAAAAGAAAATAAGAACAATAAACAAAAGTAAATTAAATACTGATTCATCTGCAGCAGAATTTATTCCTGAAAAAATCTATTTTATAAAGGAAACTGACAATGGCTTTAAAATAAATGTTTCAGGTATTTAAAGACAAAAATGAGTAAAACCATGAACATAATAGATTACAACACATAGACTTGGGAGAAAAGAAATAATGATGAGTAAAGAAACTGATGAAATATGTCAGCAAATTTAATGAAGTATTGACTATTTTGGGTGTGTGTTAAACAACACTGTGTTTAGAGAAAAAAAACAAGATGGGGAAAGGGAGCAATTTGGTTAATTAAATTGTGATAAGTAGGAGGATAGAAATGATTAAAAATAGATTTGTTTAAAATATTTATAGTTAAATAGGTAGGTGAAAAAAATTCAGGGTTGCCACTAAAAGTAAACAATACAATATATGCTTTCTGTATTTGTTTTCTACATCTGTACAACAAATTATCACAAATTTAGCTACTTATAAAAATACATACATTATCTCAGAGTTTCTGTGGGTCAGGAGTATGGGCACAGGCTGGCTGGGTCTTCTCTGTTCAGTGTCTCACCAGGCTGCAATCAAAGGGTAGGCCTAGCTGTGTCCTCAAGTGAAGGCTCTCTTAGGGAAAAATCTACTTCCAAGCTTCCTAAGGTTGTTGGCTGAATTCAGGTCCTTGCAGCTGTAGGCCTGGAATCCCAGAATTCCTGCAAGTGTTGGCGAGACGCTGCTCTCAGCTCCCAGGAGGTATTTCCACGTCGTTGTCACCTGACTCCCTCTATAGGCAGTTCACAAAATGACTGTTTCTTTGAGGTCAGCAGGAGAATCTCTCAGACTCCTGTTTCTGATCTCTAAACCTTCATTTGAAGGGCTCCCATAATTAGATCAGGCCCAACCAGGATAACTTCCCTCTTCATTAAGTTAACTGATTAGAGACTTAAATCGCATCTTCAAAATCCCTTCCCCTTGGCTGCACAATGTAACCTAAGCACTGGAGTGCTGTCCCATCATATGCACCAGTCCTGCCCACACTCCAGGGAAGATTATACAAGAAGGTGGGAATTTTAGGGGCCATCTTAGAATCTGCCAACCACAGTCTGTCCTTTGAATCCCCAATGATTTACATTCCTCCCAGATGCAACATGTATTTACCCCTCTCAAAGTTCCCACCAGTCTTATCTCATTACAGCAACAGCTTACAGTCCAGTAATACCATATGTTTGTATGTGTATATCTTTTTCAACTGAAAAGGAGCAATAAGAAACAAAAATGAATGATAAACAGAAGAAACAAAAAATTGTAGAAAGAAATACAAATAAACCAATAATCACAACAAACATAAAGAAATTAAGTTTATTTTTTAAAAGATATAGATTTTTTAAATGAGTAAAGTGCACAGAGTCCAGCTATATGTTTCTTAAAAAACTACAACAAAATGCAGAAAGATTAAAAGAAAGGAACTAAAAAATATATGCCAGTAAAATTGTAATCCCCAAATATCTAGGGTTCTAATATAACATCAGATAAAACAGAACCTAAATCCAAATTATTACAGGGTTAAAGAAGAATACTACTAATGATACAAAAATAACTTCCTAAGATATATAATAATAATTAATTTATGCACATCTAACAGCATTCTCTCTCTCTCTACACACACACACACACACACACAATCATATTGAAACTGGGAACTTTTAACACAACTCTATTAAGTTTATTAACTTAATAATAGTAGAAAAGATTTGAAAACAGAATGAACATGTTTGATGTAATGAACTATAATAAAATTTGTACCTCTATGTTCTTTTCAAGTACAAAGATGCCATTTACAGTAATTAACTGTATCATAATCAAATGTCAACACATCTCAAAGTTTCAATATCATAGCGACTATGTTATCTCACTGTAATGAAATTAAACCAGAAATTAAAAATTAAAAGATAGATAAAAGATCATATATTTAGAACTCTAGAACATTCACTCCTAAATAACATAATCCAAAGGAAAATAACAGTGAGAGAATTACAAAGTATTTAGGATAGAACACCAATGAAAAGACAGCTGAAACTGCAAAATTAGTGAGATGCAGATAAAATATTTACAGGTAAGTTTAAATGGATCTATTCAATATCAAGAAAGACTAAATATAAATGAGTTAAGTATTTAAAGATCTAGACAAAGAATTTAGAAAGAGTAACTCAAAATAATCAGAAGAAAAAATAACAAACATAATCAAGAAATACATAAAATAGAAAACTATAATACACTGGGGCGAATGAACGTGACCACAGCTTGGTTCTCTGAGAAACAGAAAAGGCTGTAGCAAGACTAATTTTTTAAGAATAGGCATAAATAAACAATAACAGCAAGAGAAAAGGAGAAAGATACACCACAGATACTAAAAATGCAATAGTCTGAGAATCAAGGTAATTACATTCTGCTTGTTGATGACTGAGGTAGGAGCAGGCATATGACAATTCTTGTGAAAAGGACAATGAGAAAAAAGGAGAAATTTTGCTAGAACTCTTCTTGAAAAGTATTATTTGCTTTTAGGAAAGGTCAGAAGACAAGAAACTGCCCCTTCCTGATTTTGGATGTTGTTGTCTGAAGATGTGATGGTTGGTACTGTGGCAACCACATTGGATCATGAGGGCAAAACCAAGGGAATAAGAGAAGTTAACAAGAACATTACTGAGCCCCTGAAGAACCAACCCTAGAACCGCCCTATTTTCAGATTCCTGTTATGTGAGATAATACAGTATTTATGTTTAATTAGCTCTTATAAGAATATTCTATGACTTGGAGCCAAATGCATTCTAACGGATATAACATTCTGGAACCAGTTTCTTAATTTTGTTTTATAAACAGATTATAAATAGAGAAGCAAAGTTTTTCCAACTGGAGTGGAATAATCTGAGAGGCCTTCTCTCATGGATGGCTAATATGGTACAGGAGTCATGAATGAAGAGAGGCTGTTATATAGAACGTTCTGAACTCTGATGGAGGTGCTGAACAATAAGGAGGATTAACAAGTGATGTGACAGAAGCTATCCAAAGGGAAAGGACCAATGGCTCATTCCCCACCCATTTAAGGAGCCAAAGCTCTTGGCAATCTGAACATAGTTATCGATTATACATACCCTTCATCCTCATAACTCTTCAAATGCCTTTATTAAACAAGAACACTTCTTGCATACATTACCTACCTGGACACAATTCTAAAATATTTTTGGTGAATGAACAGCTATAAGCCATGCCCTTCCATTTTCCATTTCCATTAGCATGCAGCTGAACCCAAATGTAAAAAAATAATTTTGTGATGATATTCATTAATTTGGAAAAGTAATCTCAGCAAGTATCTTAGCAAAGTAAATCTTTAACATAAAAAAATGCTGATGGCACACTTACTCAGATTTTGGTGGGCGACGTTCTCTTGGATACCAGTTATATTCTCATTTGAATTTCCTGTTTCTTGTTTTATGTGCATATAACTTCCTTTTTTTTCCATAAAAGTACCTGAAATTGGAGTGAGATTCTTGTAATGAGTTTTTTCTTGCAATATATTTAGATGAACAACAACAGTATGGTATTCCTAAGATCCTGTTACTCCTATTCCTTAATGGAAACATCGTGTTACTGATTCTTCTCCCACTGGAGGAATATGCTTTGAGGACTGAACTTTTTTCCCTGTCTCTCTCTCGTTTATTGGGAAAACAACGTCATCGTCTTCTTGGATTGCTGACATTTGGATAAGGCAGATGAAACAAGTAAGTGTCCTACGTCCAGATAGAAATAGCAACCATGCACAAAATTTTCTTATAAAACAGATAATAGAGTGACTATAATAGAGACTAGACCAGAAGTCTGGATTCTTGGGTCCAACTGTTCAATCTTAGGCTTGTTCTGAGATGCCGGAAAAAAAAAAAAATCACTCAAGAGTCTTTTGGTGCCTTTTTGGGCTGCACCTATAAATGGTAATTATACTTTTCTATTATAGAGTTCTCCACCATCTATTGTGATGTGTAACTATATCAAAGGAGTAGTTGACAGCTTAGTTAATGCATAGAGTATAAATCACGTTGAGTTTCTCACAGGAATACAAAATGTACATTAAATACAAAGTCTAGCAGCATGAGAAGGGAAATAGAAACTGTGAATCATGAGCACACCACTTACAGATGTCTCAAGATGTGGGTTATGTGGAATACAACTGCAGCCTGTAGTTAAAAAAGGAAACTGATGCTACTGGTGGGATGGGTTGTTTTCTAGGGCAGGGCTCAGGAGACAGACGAGACAGATTTCTACCCTCGACTTGAAAATGGGCCATTGTGTGAGCCTTGGCAACTTTGGTACAGCCTGCAGCGACTAAAATGGCCTGGCCCCTGCCCACTTCTCTATTATTAGATAGATTGCATTAACGGCCCAATTCTTCATCCTTTCCTGTATCCTTGCTTTTTTGCCATGGGGTTTTAAGCAACTCCTACAAAGAGGTAGAGTATATTTGGGGTATCTTGATTTAGAGTTTGGCCATGTGACTTGCTTTGGCTAATAGAATTTTAGTGGTTGTGATACTAACAGATGTCTAGAAAGTGCTTGCATGTATTTGGTTTTGCTCTTGCTCCTCTGGGATGGTGAGGGGAACATGCCCTGGCTAGGCTGCTGAAGGATGAGACATACAGAACAGAGCCAAGCTGCCCAGGTGTTCCAGCCAAAGCCAACCTAGATCAACCATCAGCCAGCTGGTTCCCAGACATGTGAATAAGCCAAACCAACAGGAAAAATTGCCCAGTTGTGCTTGTCCTAAATAACTGACTCCCAGACTCATAAGCAAAATAAATGCTTATTGTTACAAACCACTGAGTTTTGAGATGATTTGTTATACAGCATTCTTGTGGCTATCAATCTGATATACTTTCCAACACTTCCCTGTTGCTCTCCACACCCACTCCAGCAACATTAGACTTATCTATTTAAGAGAACTTTTCATGTACCCCAGGACAGGATCCTTGCACATGCTGTTCTCCCTCTGCCTGGAGCTGTCTCTTATGCGTCTCCCCTGGCCCCTTACGTTGGCCAGCTCCTTAGCTGAAATACATTTATTCATCAGTTCTTAGCTCAAAAGTAGCTTCCTTAGGCAAGCTTTTCCTTCCAATCCAGAGTAAGTGGGCTTTCTTTAAAATTGCAATATATTTTCATGTATTTGTGTTACTTTATATCAGAGAACTTTTTACTGATGTCTCTGTTAATGAATGATAATCTAATTTTTTTGTGTGTGTGTGATAGTTAAGCTGGTCTCCTCCATGAAATTGCAAAGTCCATGAGTTTAGAGGCTGCAACTGTTATCTGGGTCGCCACTGTATCCTAACGCAGCAGATAATATAGTGTATTAGGTACACGCTACCTAATGCAGTGACAGGCACCAATTTTTATTGAATGAAGATGTAAGTCGTATCCTCCACCTTTTGTGTGTGATGACTGATGAGTTACATTTGTAGCCTTCTCGAGAAGTATGCTTTGAGTAACTGGAGCTGCCTCATTCAAAGATACCTGAGAGGTACACAAATAAGCCCTCTCCCCCACAGGAAGCCTGTAATCAGTGACTCATAGATGCAGCTATGGAGTAGTCCAGCCTGCTTGCCTCTGAGTGAGATAACCTCCGTGGTGTAATTTATGCTCTAGAGCTCCCCGTGAGATGGGGCCTAGGCTTGACTTCTAAAACCACATCTTTGCCAGGTTCCTTTCCCTGCACTAATCTATGCCCTCATCTTGCTTTATGTTTCTCCTGAGAACTTGACCTCAATAAATCACTTGCAGGAAAATTCCTATTTTAGGTTCTACTTCCAACCAAACCCAAATAAAGACATGCAATAAATTTGAGCATTTCTTGCTCAACCAAAAAATAAAATAACCAAAAGAACCCTGAAATAGTATCCATTGGTATAAATCTTTGGATAGAGAAAAATTATAGCTCACTCTTCTCAAAGGGTCCAGAAATTCACAGACATCTGATAATTTGGGGGTTGGTTAGAACCTCCATAGTTATTAAAGCAAAGTTTTATTCATTCCTGGAAATGTTTATTCTCAAATTGTACCACTATACACTAATACATTTCTTAACAGCACTATTCAAGTAGAGAGCATGTTTGATGTCTGACTGCCAGGATTTTCATCTCCCCTGTATTTGTGGGTTTCTGCTTTCAGAAGATAATCAGAGAATAGGTGATGGTGGCTAGAAAAACGCCCGTCATACAGTCTTAAAAGAAAAATTATATAAGGCTACACATAGTGCAATCTTAAATAATAAAACAAATCTATCCATCTCTCTATCTAGGCATTGAAAAATCAATGAAAGAAAGCATACCAAGATGTGAACAGCAGTAGTAAAGTTCTGAGAGATTTTTATTTCATCTTTTACAATTTTACAATCTTCACATTTTAAACAGAAAGCATGACTGTGGTTTTTGAAAAAATATGGTTTAAAAAAAGGGTAACTCAGCAAACAGATCAAAGAGAGAACAATAGCACTTCCTCCCCCTCCCCCCAACCTCACCCCCTGCAAATGAGCTCTGTACAAAAGTAAATTTCTGGACATTCTACATCAAATATAAGATGGCTTTGAAAGGTGGAGAAAATCAGATCTCCTAGGGATTTAAGGAAATAAGACACAACACAGTGGTGAGTTCCCTGGGTTTTCATTTTGCCTCATATATCCCAGAGTTGGAACTGAAGAAACTGGAGAAATGCCAATGGGCACAGACAAGGAAACCACCAACAAAAGCCTGTTGTCTGTAGCCAAAGGACCAGGAAGGGGCAGCCTAACAAGGCAGGACTCTTCTATACCCACTCTACTTCAGTGGGACACCACAGAAGCAACCTGTGACCCCAGCCCTACTGAAGCCCATGAAGGCTGATTGGGGAGCTCTGACTTTCACCCTCACTAGACTATAAGGAGGAACCCAATCTCTCTGCCTGGGTGGTATTAGAAAGGCTGAGTAGAGAGTTGGTTTGTTGATCTCTTCTAGACAGTAACAAGACTTCCCACCTCCTACATGGGGTCAGTGGAGAACACATGGGGAGCCTGGCCTTCCACCCCTGCTCAGCGGTAAAGAGGCATCCCCCCCAACTATTCACTGTTGTGGTGTCAGAGGAGGCCTAACAGACAGGCAGGACTTCCACCCCCCCCACCCCCAAGTAAAGAGGCCATAACTCTCTTCTGTGGTGCTAGTGGGGCCATGAGGGAGTGCAGCACTAGGCATTCCTTGCTCTCCAAGCCTAGGGGATTCAGTCAGTGGAGGCGTAATGAAAAGTCAGAGTGCCCACCCACCCAGGAGTGATAAGGAGCCTCACTTCAGGTGTGAATGAAGGCCACCTGGTTGTCCACCCAACATGGCAGCAGTGAGGTATCTCCTTCCTCCTCTGCTGGAGCAGAGTTAGAGGAAGCTGGCTCGAACAGATTTAAACAAGATCCAAAGTCTCAGAAAGTAACATCCACAATGTCCAAGTTTCAATCGAGTAACATGCTTTATACTGGGAAGATCTCAAGCTGAATGAAAAAAAAGGTGATCCATAGATGCCAACACGGAGATGACAGGAATGGCAGAATCATCTAACGGACAGTTTAAAGCAACCATCATAAAAAATGCTGGCACTGAATAGTTATGAACACACTTGAAACAGGAACAAAATAGAAAGTTTCAGCAAAGAAACAGGATAGAAAGAACCAAATGGAAAGTTTATAACTGAAAAATACAGCAACCAAAATAAAATAAAAATGGATGAGCTGAACAGCAAAATGGAGGGCACAGAGAAAAGCATCTGTAAACTGGAAGACAGAATGATAGAAATTACCCAATTTGAACAATGCAGAGAAAACAGACTGAAAAAGTGAAAACAACATCAGGGACCTGTGGGATTATAACAGAAGAGCTAATATTTATGTCACCGAACTCCTGTATTGAAAGGAGAAAGTGGGGCTGGAAACTTGAAGATATAATAGTTGAAAATTTACCAAATTTGGCTAAAGACATACACCTTTAGAATCAAGAAGCTGAACGAAACTCACGATTTTCAAGAATAAGTCTGAGTATGACTATGTAGGTTATGAAAGCCACCAGATAATCACTTTGTTCAGATTATGAAGTTGTTGTTTTTAACCTGTGAAAAGGACTCAGAGACCATCAGTGATGCTACAGTAACAGTGTTAGACAGTGTCTAGCCAGAGTGACTAGTTATGACTTCAGTTAGCCCAGGAAGATTCAAATTAAGTGTAGAAATGTTTAAGACACTCCATTGTTCAATATTTTTGTGCATTTGATATTTTATGCATTTTCCACATGTAAGAAATATTTGGATTAACAGGTCAGTGTCCTGTTTTCATACAATCTAACATGTATGACTAAGCATACATGTTCAGTCTAACATGTGTGACTAAGCACGTGATAAAAAATTTGCAATTTTAAGTTGAAATCTTACTGAGTATGCAGGCAGTATCAGCACATTTAAGAGAACTTAAGAATTTCTTGACGATTTTTAAACTTTTTTGTGAGAATTTCTTAAATGGAGCGGACTAGCATAAAATTGAAAACAAAACTATAACGAAATATATTAAATTTGTACAGGCAGTTTGCGTATTTAAAGGAGTTTCATTGTTTGAAAACATGAATCAATCCCCTTAAAGGTGATTTTTCAAAATTGAATAGATTTATAAATAGAATGAGATCTACAAATTCAGAAAGTTGGCTTTAAAATTTGTAACTTAATTATTCACATTTAAACCTCTGGAAGATCTTTTCAATGCCTAAAACCTGCCCCTAAAGACATAAAATCCCTCACACTAACATATACATGAACATGTGGTATGATCATCATCTATGGGAAAAATCTTGTTAACTTTTTCTAGTGTGGAAACACTAGAAAAGTGGAAACTTGGTCGGGCGCAGTGGCTCACGCCTGTAATCCCGGCACTTTGGGAGGCTGAGGCAGGCGGATCATGAGGTCAGGAGATCGAGACCATCCTGGCTAACACAGTGATACCCTATCTCTACTAAACACACTGCACTCCAGCCTGAGCGAAAGAGCAAGACTCCATCTCAAAAAACAAAACAAAACAAAAAAACCCCAGAAAAGTGGAAAGTTGCATTGCTTCTCCAAGTCCTGTCCAGTTCAAGTGAGTAGTTCTAAGCATGTCTGGATTACTCATTCCTTGAGTAGAGATTTTGCCTCTATTTAATCTCTGTTATCGCTGCAGCTGCCATGGTGCCAGGGAAGAGCAGATGGTAGAGAAACACGTGTTTGAATTCAACTTAATCAGCTACATTTTCCAAGCTCTATTTTAAAATGGTGTATTCTGCGACAGTGGTCCTGAAGAGGTTTGGCTTCCAAGGATGAAATGACTCAGAAGAACCTGAAGCTCACCAGCCATATTTGCAGCCTGAGCACTCATAGGATGACAACGTTGAGCAGAATTTAGCCCCCTCCAGCACTCTGTTAGAGTTTGGGAAGAACTGTTAGCTGCCTGGAACATGCTTTTTTGTATACTCAGGAGGCAAAGTTCTGCCATGTTGCCTTTAACCAGCCATGTTTTTGAGGTGCTGATTGTCCTTACACAATGCCTTTTTCTAAGTAGCAAGCTTCACCCCCATGAAACACCTCAATATAGATCAACATACTGTTTGACATTCATCACTGGAACAAAATGTGGCATAATTTCAAATACTAGAATTTTAGACACTGCACTTCAAAGTTAAAGAGACTTACAGCAACATGAAAAAGTCATCAATAATTACAACGCATATTATAGAAAAAATTAAGTTCTATATATTGAACAAAACTGGGTGGCATATCCATGAAATACATGCTCTTTGAGAACCAGTAACTAATTATATTATTCCAGTTAAAGATCTAAAACTAAGATGAGTTTTCATTCTGAGACACTAAAATGTAAACTGAGTGAGATTTTTAAATGTTATTTGAATAGATCAGCTTTAAAACAAACTTACTTGGGTTTGTATTTACCATATTTTTTTGCAGTTTAATATTTATCCCCCCAAAAAGTATATTATTAAAAGAACAGTATAACTTACATAAGTTTTCACAATCATAGAACATTTGTAAATTAGTTCAAGATCTCAGAGAAATGTGTAAAAGCATTTGTATCTTTTTAAATTTAATATATTTATCTAATAAGTATACTCTTGTCTCACTTAACTTTATGCAGTGCTTTTTCTTTTGGTAATTTTTGTCTTTATTATACCAATGACCCATATTTACTATAGTAAATTAATACATATAATTGAATCAGTGTGTCTCAACCTTGGCACTATTGACACTTTGGGTTGAATAATTCTTTGCTGTGGAGGGCAGACCCTGTGTTGTAGAATGTTCAGCAGCATCCTTGGCCTCTACCTACTAGAAGTGAGGAGTGTCTCCAGTTTCAACAAAGAGAAGCGTCTCTAGACATTGCAAAATTTTCCCAGGGAGAGCAAAATTGTCCTTAGTTGAGAGCCACTAATTTATGAAAAGAAAACAAAGTCACCCATTTTTCTTCCACACTTATATTTTAGTTTATATTGTTATGGTCAATTTTCTCTATCTATACAGATATGTATCCAAGTATCTAGCTATAAGATATTTTATATATGGAATATATATAAACACATTTAAAATTAGCATTATTACTTCTCTTTTGCAGCATATATTATGAACATTCTTTCACAAAAACGTATATGTTTATTTCCTCATTTTTAAAATGGCTACACGATATTCCACTGTTTATACACAATATTATTTATTCCATTTACTACTTTTAGATATTGAAGTTATTCCCAATGTTTGATAAAAGTGTGCCTTTGGTTGGGTATGATATTCTTGGGAAACACATTCTTCCCCTAAAATTTTTGCAGATTTGCTTCACTGTCTTTTGGTATCAAAAATGGCTGAGAAGTATGAGTCCAGTAAAATTTCTTCTCCTCTGCATTTGTTCATCTGCATGTTTAGTCAAGGAACCCAAAGGATTCTTTCTTTATTCTTAAAGTTAAAAACCTTTGTCTTTAAAGTATCAACTTGCTGATATTTCCTGAAATACAGTGTTTCTTTTCAGTCTTTTGGCACAATTTCACATTCATTTCAATAAACTTTTATTCTATTATATCTTTAAAATCACTTTCATTTTTAGTTGCTGGTCTTTTCTACTTTAAGCACACCAATTATCCTTATGTTGGATTGTCCTTGTCCTATGTATTATTGTCTCCTAGTTCCTTTAATTTCTTTATTTCCCCCTCTGCATTCATGGTGAATCATACAATCCACTATTTTATATGTTTCCATTTTTCTGGCATCTTCATTTTATTTATTTATTTATTATTATTTTTTGAGATAGAGTTTCACTTTTGTTACCCAGGCTGGAGTGCAATGGCACAATCTTGGCTCACTGAAACCTCCACCTCCTGGGTTCAAGTGATTCTCCTACCTCAGCCTCCCAAGTAGCTGGGATTACAGGTACCCGCCACCACATCCAGCTAGTTTTTGTATTTTTAGTAGAGGAGGGGTTTCACCATGCTGGCCCAGCTGGTCTCGAATTCCTAACCTCAGGTGATCTGCACCCCTCAACCTCCCAAAGTGCTGGGATTACAGGTGTGAGCCACCAGGCCCGGCTGGCATTTTCATTTTAATGAATCCGTAACCCACATTTATTATGTTAAATTAGTAAATGTAGTTAAATTGGGGTTTCTCAACCTTGACACTATTGACATTTTGGGTAGAAAACTCTTCACTGAGGGTGGGGGCTCTCCTGTGCATTGCAATATATTTAGGATTCATTACTTTTTGTGATTTATTGGTCAGTTCTTGAATATTGTTTTCCTCCTTCTCCACTGATTTTCTTACCTCCCTTTTCTTCTTTTTCTGTTTTTATGTCAGTATTTGATCACCTTTTTGTTTATTAACTGAATTAATAGTTTTATTAAGTATTACACGAATAGGTTCTTTAGGGATTTAAAAAATGTTTTTCTTCAGTTATATGTTTTTCCAAAAGGGATTATTTGTCTATTATGGGTGGTGCCTTCGTTTTTCTGCCTTTGGCTTACCCCTCTTTCCTTTACTGAATAGCACAGATGCCATGTTGTTTCTGTTTCTTGTTTTCTTGGTCATGATGAACACAGCAGCTGTCTACCTTCTCTTTGTTCTGATATATTGTGTGCTAATTCTCTCTGATCTCCTTATCTGAGATCAGTTGTCTACCTCCCTGAGAGCTGGGAAGTGCATATGCAATACTTTCCTGAGGCTGTGTGCCATTGGTGGAAATGTGTTGTGTGTAGCGGGGAGGAAAGGAGAGGGTGGATGGGAGCCGTTCCGCTGGGCCTGTGTGCAGTCTTGTTTGGAAGAGCTGCACCATGCTGTCTCCTCTGTGATTTTGCTAAGCATCTACCTAGTTGGAGGCGTATGCCGTTGCCATTTATTAGCTCTGGATGGTGAGAAGAAAAGACGCCCACTGGCTTTCAGCACAGAGATTTCAACCTTTGCTTCTGTCACATAGATCAGCCCAGGCATTCTGTTTTCCTGTTTCACCTGTTCCTACCCAGAAGCCATTTCCATACCCTAAAGAAGTGGCACTATGAACATTTTTGAGGCTGTTAATCTGTACTAAAAAACTGACCTCCAGAAACGTTATACTGATTACATAGTAAATACTAAATTAATGAAGAGTATCTACTTTCTTATATTTTTGTCAAACTTGAATATTAATACTTTTATTTTTAATACTAGATTTTTATAAAAAATAAAAGTATGAGAAAACATAGTTTAATGAATTTCAATGTATGCGAATATTTTACAAATTTTTTTGAAATTCACACGCAATATTCTGAAAGTTTACAACTGTCAATGGGTCCATACAAATTATGTAACATTTGAAACAATTAACAGAAATTTAAAGGGTTCTTATTTAACTGAATGTTTAAAAGTTCTCTTGAAAGGAAGCAATCTTGGAAGAAATTATTTAAAACATAGGATAATTAAAAATATGTTTAATAAAGAACAATAAGTAAATGTTTCAAGATAGAGTCATGCAGTTGGGAAACAATGATCTTTTAACTAGAGGTCCAAAATTCTTTTAAAAAAATAATAGATTTTTTATTGGTATCCAGGGAGCAAGGTTACTACTGTTCTTTTCTTAAACACACAAAAAGCACCAATTGGCAAGGTCACCTGTTTGTATCCATGAGATCATATACATGAAGAGTGATAAATAAAACCCAACCAATACTTTTATTAATATACAGGAATCCCCCCTTACCTGCAGGGCATCCAAGACTCCCGAGTGAATGCCTAAAACCACAGATAGTACCAAGCCCTACACATAGCATGTCTTTTCCTAGACATATATCCTTATGGAAAGGTTTAATTTATAAATGAGGCACAGTAAGAGACAAACAGGAATAAAATTGAACAATTATGACAATATGCTGTAATAAAAGTTATATGAATGTGGTCTCTCTCAAAACATTTCATTGTACTGTACTAATCTATTTTCTGACTGTAGCTGACCACAGGTAACTAAAACTGAAATGTGAAACCATGGATAAGGGAGGACTACTGTATGTGCTGTATGTGATTCCTAATACAAGGCTATTTATTTATTTAAAACGATTTATCATTGTGATGTCGTTTCTGCTTTTTAATACAAGGTCCTTCAAAAATTATTTGTTTTGCTCAGGGCAACTAGTTATAAGGATTTAAAGCACATGAATGTTCAATATTAAAAGGTAATTGAAAAAAAACTCCAAATTGAATCTCCAAATCTTCTAGTTTCTCCCATTGTCTGATGTTTGAAAACAGATGTGTTAATGACTACTACATCATGGCTTACTTTCATTTTTTTCTTCCCTAGCTAGGAAAGGAATTAGGAGAGCTCCCAATAAACATGCCTGTATGTTGCTGCCTCTACAAACACAAGGGAGGAACAAGAACAACAACAACAAAAACCTGACAATTTCCCCATAGCTGGCATATACAATTTAATTAATTTTGGATTTGTGAAATTTGGCATAAGGTGCCTAGGAATTGCTCCTGGCTTACTTAGAATATGAAAATATGAGATAAGACTGCCAGACCTAAACTTCTCCAGAAGAAGGGTAAAGGCTGCACACTAAATTTTCTCCTAATATGATAAAAGTGCCTCCAGCCTTTATCTCTTCTGCCCCTCTGCCTTTTGTCTTTTGGATGGTCATGGTTATAGATGTTGGGAAGGCACTGAGTTAAAGAGAAGACACTTGGGAATTAGATCCCTAGAAAATGGCCCTTGCCTTATGCCTTGTGCAAGTCCCGGAGGTGCCATTCACATTGTAGTCCATATGACCTGCCAGTTGCTTATGGTGATCTTTCTGCTTCTAAATCCTGCTTCCCAAAGTATGAGATACACAGGGCAAGCAATACATTCAAGAACCCAGCTTGCTAAATGTCTTTGCCTCCAACATCCTTTCAAATGATCATAAGTGGCATAACCTTAGTGAATTTGGGTCCCCATAGATACAAAACAAAGACCAGTGGCTTTTGACTCAGAAGACCAAGTTTCAATCCTGACTCGCCACATGCTAGTTTTGTGCTCTTGGTCATGTTACTTAAATTCTCGGAGTTACAATGTTCTCACCAGTAAAACAACAATGACAGATTCATAGAGTTGCTAAAGAGGATTAATTAGGATAGCACAGGTAAAGTTCCTGGCACACAGAAAGCACTTAATCAATGTGAGCCTCTCTGAAGTGAAAGTAACGCATCCTAATACTCAGGAGATTTAGACCAGAGAGCTATACTGTCCAATATGGCAGCCACTAGCAATGTGTGGCTGTCAATTAATTAGCATTAGACTTTAAAATTCAGTTCCCAGGATGCTCAATAGTCACATGTGATGGATGACTATATGTTGGACGGCACTGATATTTACCATTGCTGTCATACAGAAAGTTTTACTGGACAATAGAAGAAATGATAGAATTAAACAAGAATCCAAAGTCCAGAAGCCAACATCTTTGCCATTAACTACGAAACTCAAGAGGAGCAACTTTATCTCACTTTGTCACAATTTCCTCACTGGTAAAATGGATACTGCCTTTGCAGTAATGTGGTGGGGATCAAGTACACTGCAGTCACTTTTTTTTTTCCTTGCTTTAGTCTTTCCAAGACTAAACAATGCATGACATACTTACTAGCAAGGATCACTTTGAGGATGAGTTAGTTGATAGGTGCAGCCCTTTGGTAGTTTAATATTCATAGCCATGATTTGGTATTATTCCAATGCACCTGTGAGCAGTTAGGAACAGCATATGTTCAAAAGTGCAAGGAGCTACTGCAGACAGTCCTTGTGGTGATGGAAAGACAAAAAGTAACAAAACTGAATTGGTTTTCATTGGCAAGTGGCCTTTTGTAGACTTTTTGTAGCTCTCACAGGGTTTAAAATGGAAAGATCAAAGATCTTATTTCCTACTTTTCCATTTCTGTTTCACTTTAATATCTAAATCTTCCTTTCTCAGGTTTGAAAACAATACTCCGTTGCTGTCATTTTGGGGGCAATGTTGTATTTTTTTATTTATCTAGAGCTGGGGTTGGCAAACCTTTTATGTAAAGGGCCAAAGAGGAAATATTTTAGGGTCATAAGGTTTCTATCACAACTACTCAGCTCTGCTGTGTAGCATGAAAGTAGCCACAGACAACATGCACACAAATGGGTGTGTCTGTGACAATAAAACTTAATTTACTAAAATAGGCCCTTGGGCCTTAGTTTGCCAACTCCAGATCTAGAAAAATATGAAAGAACATATCCTTTTCACTTCCCCACATTGTTTCCTTCCCCACTATGATATATATTTTCTCGCTTATTTTAATTTTGAACATATAGTGTATTCTACAAATGATCACAATCAAACATTCAAATATTTACTTTAGTAATGTGAAAAAATAATATTCCTTCTAATTTTTATCAAGGCTTTGCACTTAAAAAACAATATAATTCTTAATGACATTTTTTTTTTCCTCAGAGAGAAAACTGAGAGGAAGAGACATGAAAATAAAATGTAGAAGAATTGTAATTTAATTCTTGGAGGAGGGGATAAAGCAATTAAATCATTTATGTGATTATTTCATAAAAGGATTAATAACAAGCAAATAGCCTTTTATTTTCAAATAAGCTCAAAGCCAAAACAATCAAAAACACTGATTACAACTCAAGATGAGATTTTGGGTGGGGACACAGCCAAACCATATCAGGTAGTTAATATGTTAAATGTAAACTTGTCTGAGTTTTTTATGGCCTATATTTATTGTATAGAAGACCACAAAAATTATTGTAAATGAACCGGGGCCAGATTCAGGAATAGGTTACTGACCTGAAACTGATCACTGGAGTCATATTCAATTTTGGGAGGTGTCTTAGAATTACCAAGAGAAGCTTCTTTCCTTCCTCTCTCCTTCCTCCCTCTTTCTTTCGTTTATTTGCTCATTTATTTTCTCTTTCCCTCTGCTCCCTCTCTCTTTCTCTTCTGAGGATGCTAAATTTGAGAACCTCACATGTAATGGCCAGCAGCCATTATCCACCTGTAAAAATGGCCTGCCTGAGAATAAAACAATTAGAGACAAGCTACGCTAAGGATGCAAAAAGAACAAGCTCTGATGGCTTTGAGCTTATTTGAAAATAAAAGGCTATTTCCTTGTTATTAACCCTTTTATGAAATAATCACAAAAATGATTTAATTGCTTTATCCCCTCCTCCAAATTGGGTTGACTGGAAACATCAATATTTACAAGTGATTCAAACATAGTCCTCTTCAGAGATCAAAAATTTAAAAATGTTGTCTAGTTGACATAATATAGGTTATTTTTTTTACTGCACCAACTAGTGATTAAGCTATCAAAAACCAAAACACAACTAAGAAGACATTGTTAATATTCTTCATTCATTGCATGGGCATTAAGAAAGGATGTAAGACTGATCTATCCAATAGTTTATTTCTCCATGGCAAACATGGCTCTAAACAATAATGACTTTCATACTTTTGTCCACACATAAAATTTATGAGAACAAAGTAAGCTGGTAAAAAAAACAAACAAAATAGTTTGGTCTACTACATATTTATACACTGAAAGGAAAATTAATGGTGGCAATTGAGCCTCACTTAATGGAATGAGTTATACTGGAGTATCTCCCTTTGCGTTACGCAGACTGACATCACAGTTCAACCTGTCAGACATCTGAGATACATTCCTGGGGTTCTGGTTTGTGTATAACTTTTATGGATTCAATAATCTCCTAACACAGAAATGGGTATCTGATAAAGTTGAGTGGAACTGGAATAATCCTGGAATGACCCAAATTATCAAATTTTAGAGGCATACCTAAGACACTAAGACTAGTGTCTTTGTAAAAAAAAAAAATGTTTGAGGAATAAAATTGAGTAAAATGAGAGATACACACAGATCTTACAGCTTACAAAACATAATTTTATTTAAATTTGTATAGATAAAAATCTACCAAAATTTAAACAAAAATTTTATCCAAATCCTTTCCCACAACAAAATTGGACATCATGGAAAAAAAAAACACATTCAAATAAGGTTCCCATCTTTCTACCATAAACTGGTAGATTCTGGGAGGATGAGGAGTAAGAGAGAAACGAGGAGAGAAGATAGTGATACTAAACACAATTTGATCTTCAGTGTTGTCTCATCTTGAAATATCTTAATAACAGAGATTTCCATAAGAATCAGGATTCATTTTTGACACAAAAATGGAAGCTTCCACTCCCAAAATCACAAATAAGGCTTCTGGTTTTCTTTTTAGTGTGAGGTAAACAGTATATTCAATATTAAGGCAAATGGTAAAAACACATGGATGGTATATTAATGCAGATATTCCATTATTAAATATATTTTGGAATACTCACGGATTTTTCAAACATATGTTAGAATTAGAAACCTGTAAAATCTGCAGTAGTGTGTAATAGCTATTTGCTTGAATGTCTTAGCAGTGCCTTTTTAGTAGCTAATATGTTCAGTGTAATCTTATGCCTTTTTAGTAATTAATATATTAAATATAATCTTGTCTGAGTTTTTAAATGGTCTGTTTTTCTTTTTCATTATGTAGGATTAGATGCCCACCAAAATTCTTGTAAATGAAGCAGGACTTGATTTCAAATTCTGTCTATACACACAATATTTGGCCACATAGACCACTCCCCAAAGTCTGCAAAACACTGCCTACTGGGCAGGCTTACAGTGACAGAAAAGTATGAGAACACAAGATATTATTTTTATAAAGACCAAAATCAGATTTAGGCTGTCTAGATATCTTATTCCAGAAAACACAGATTTAAGATTTTTCAGTGATTCTTGCCTTCCCCCTCCCCTTTTCTTCCCCAATGAGATAACCATTTCTTTCACAATGATGAACCATCCCTTTTTACGGAAAAATGGCTTTCTTTCTCCATTGGATCAGGACAAAGACATCACTTCTTGGCCACACTGGCCACAGCCTTCTTGGCTGCATCCTCCAGGTCAATGGCTGAAGTAATGGGGAGTCCGCTGTTGTTGAGTATCTTCTGGGCCTCTTGGACGTTGGTTCCTAGAAGGGGGACAGGGAACAATCACTGAATGAAACTAGAGGTGGCGCCTTATGAAGTTTGCACAAGGACACACAAGACTCACCTGTCTACAGCTTTTCACTAGGAAATGAATTAAATATAGGTTCTCATCAAGGTCACTGACAGAAAAGATTATGTGATGAAATTTATCTCAAGCTGTGGTCCAGCTAGAAAAGAAGATGAAAGCAAGGGCTTGCAAGAGGGAAATGAACATATTTTACTGATGGAAGCTGAGTTGTCTGCTGATAATCACAGCCATGTGGATTTAATGCGGTTTTGGCCCACACCAGAAGTCACTTGTCTTAAAGCCCTCTCAGACGTCATCAGGGGTTTGGGCTGTGACCTGATTTGAGAAAGGAAGTTCCGAGAATCTGCCCAGCTATGTCCACAAATCCACTGCTTTGGAGACTCTGGCGCATCCAGCATGTCCATTTCTGCCTTCTCCTCACTCTATAAAATGAAATGGGCTGAGCCCTTCAAAACGGGCAAAGCAGCCTCTGATGGCAATCTCTTGACTGTTCCTGGTGGATCTGGAGTATCTTCTGGCCAAGTCACTTCATTCAAAGGTGTGCTTGGGGACTATTTAACATGAGAACTGCTTTTCTGCCATTTTAGAGTGAACAACTCCTGTAGGAGAAATGTAATAGAATTTAAGTGTCTAATGAAATATCTCATCCTACATCATTTCCTGTGCTTTTATCTAGTTGGCAAGACAGAGCCTATTTATAAACAAAGACCTTGAAATATAGGCCTTGGAGAACTTGCCTTACCACAAAGAGTGCAGATAAAAAGAGGCACTGGGTCAGCACATTTCATATAAAGAGGCAAATGCTGGATTAAATAGAAATGGGTGGATTGAAAAGATGATGCAGCACTGATTCCCCTGGGACCCTGGGTCTACCCAAGCAGCAGTGAAGATGGCCGCTTGGCACTGTGTCTTCACCTTAAGGCTCACCTACTCCTGTTTTTACAGAGGAAGCTGGTGAAAGTCCTCTCTGGAAGGTGAAAGCATAAAATGTGGGAAGCTGCTACCTAAAATCTCCATGCTGGCTCTGCCATGTACTTGTTATGTAGTTTTGGGTAAATCGTTTAACTTCTTTGAGCCTTAACTTTTGTTTCCATACAGAGCACTATCATCCTCGTAATCTTCCCAAGAACTAATATCATTAAGTGCTTATGTATGCCAGGCACAGTGCTAAGTAACTTATACACAGCATATGAAATCTTTACAAAAACTATGAGTAGTCCTATTGTTCCTATTTTACAGATAAGGCAACTGAGGCACAGAGAAGTTAAATAACTTTTCCATGGTCACAGAGGCGGTAAGTGTCAGAGATGGGACTTGAACTGTTCTCTGTAATTATAAACGCTGCATGTTCTAAAGATATGCTAGTCTGCTTACCTACTTGAAAAATGAGGACAGTATAGCTGATGGTATAGATTGTGATGAGAAGCAAATGAAATGAGTGTAAAAGCATTTTTGTAAATGGTGCAGTATCTGTGGCAGGCCTGGCTGGCTTTGCACCACAGACTCCTGCTCCTCTTCTGCAGTAGAGTGCTATTGCTGGAAAGCAGCTGCCCAGCCAGAAACTACATTTCCCAGGCCCCCCTGCATCTCGAAGGGGACATGTGACTGAGTTCAGGCCAAAGGAATGTCACATGGCCATGACAATCTCCAAAGGGACTCTTCACACTCGGTTTTCCTTGTCTGCTTTCTGGAGTGTTCCTAGCTGGGGCAGCCCTGGAAGTCACCTTTTTGGTTCTGGTTGTGTTTTGTCTTGCTTTTTGTTTTTGAGATAGGCTCTCGCTGTGTCACCCAAGATGGAGTGCAGTGGTGTGATCTCAGCTCACTGCAGCCTCAGCCTCCGGTGCCCAAGTGATCCTTCTACCTCAGCCTCCCAAGTAGCTGAGACTAAAGGCACACATCACCACGCCCAGCTATTTTTTGTATTTTTTGTAGAGATGGGGTTTTTCCACATTGCCCAGGCTGGTCCTGAACTCCTAAACTCAAGGACTCCATCTGCCGTGGCCTCCCAAAATGCTGGGATTACAGGCATGAGCCCTTGCACCCAGCCAAATCACTTCTTGAAGATGGCAATGACTCCTTCAGCCTGGATACTTTAATAACTCTCTGGAGCCAAGCATCTTACCCACTCACCCTCTTAGACCTTATGGGAATGAGAAAGACCCTTCTATAATGTTAAGACTCTGAAATTTCTGCATTTTTCTGTTGTTACAGGAGCTAGCATTATTTTGACTAACATATGACTTTGTAAATGCTGTGGAAGGCAGCTTCTAAAATGGTTTTCAAAGATCAATCACTCTTGCCTCCTGGTAGTCACATCTTTGTAGAATCCGTCCCCCTTGAGTATGATCTGGACCCACAGCCTTACTTCTAATAGATAAGAACATGGCAAAAGTGATGGAGTGTCACTTCTGAGACTAGGTTACAAAAGCCTGTGGCTTCAGTCTTGCTCCCTTTAACTCTTTTTTCACTCTGATGAAGCAAACTACCCTGCTATGAGCTGCCCTCTGGAGAGACTCACCTGGGCAAGGAACTGAGGGCAAACTCTGGCCAACGGCTGATGAGGAACTGAGGCTCTGGGTCTAATAGCCAAGGAGGAAGTGCATCTGGCCAAGAACCATATAAGGGATCTTGGAAGCAAATTCTTCCCTAGTCAAGCCTTGAGATCACTACAGCTCGGCTGACACTGTGATTGCAGCCTTGTGAGAGACCCTGAGTGAGAGGATCCACCTAAGCCACACCCAGATTCCTGACCACAGAAACTGTGAGATAATAACTGTTCTTTTTGTTAAGCTGCTACATTTTGGGGTAATTTGTTAAGTGCTGATAGGTAAGTAACACAGATGTAAAAATGTATTATTTCATTAACACAACCTGCGTGCACTTTGATTCATTTGACTGTGGCAGGTGTTAGATAGCAGGCTAAGGAATTTAGAAACTAATCAAAGCATGGCTTTCATGGAGTAATGACAGAGTGTGAAACAAAAGCCCTGATGGACACAGGAGCAAACCAGTCTTTGGACCAGAAGGTAAATGACAGTTACACGTGTAAATTTTGTTTTAGACAGAGTCTTGCTCTGTCACCCAGGCTGGAGTGCAGTGGCGTGATCTCAGCTCACTGCAACCTTCACCTCCCTGGTTCAAGCAATTCTCCTGCCTCAGCCTCCTGAGTAGCTGGGATGAGAGGCAGTGGCCACCTCTCCCAACCAATTTTTGTATTTTTAGTAGAGATAGGGTCTCACCATGTTGGCCAGGCTGATCTTAACCTCCTGACCTCAAGTGATCCACTTGCCTCGGCCTCCCAAAGTCTGGGATTAGAAGCATGAGCCACCGTACCCCATGTGTAAATTTCTATCTCCTCCTGCAGAGACGTAGACTAGGCCCTTCTTCCTCTTCCTTTCTTCTTTTGAGCACCTTCCAATCTCAATGCAGCTCTAAGACCTCCAGATAGGTGCAGGAGTGGCGCTCCTGATGTCTTCCTCCATTTCAGATCCTGCTCTTTCTGGAGACTAGTTTTTTATCACGGTTCCCACTTATTCAGATAACTTCTTATTCAGTTTTACCTGAGTTCCTTTGCATGTGTATGGATGAAATGAGCTCTTGATCTTCTTAATTTTTTGAGATAACTTTAATGAGTTGTGCTTCCTTGCAACCAAGTAATCTAAATAATTTAGTTCCTTAATTAATATCCTCTTTTGCACCCAACTTAGCACCAGTATTCCCAAGGGAAAAGAAATGATTTAGAAATTCATGAGCACAAAGATGTGCTGGGCCACTGCCCTTGCTGGGCTTTCCACCCAGAGCTCTGTTGGGCTGACACCTCTCTCCACTGGGCTGACACCCATTCATTCACAAGGCATCTGTTAAATGGTATTTCTTTGGGGATATCTTTCTAATCACCACCTCCCCATGCCCCAACTAAAGCAGGGGCTGGTACAATGAACTTCTGGAGCACCTTGTATTTCTAAAATCTTACCATGGATGAAGTCTTATTGGGATGACTTACTGATGCTTCCCTCGTCCCCTCTAAACATCCACTTTCCTTTGTCAGACTTGCTTACTGGATACCTCCCAATATCCGTTAGCTAGCAGTACGTGCTGACCGACGGGGTAACTCCAGATGGATTCCCACATACAAAGTGTGCTTGACGAGAAGAGGAGTGGGCGGGTACTTTTTGATAGATCTCCTTGCTGTCCTAACAACCCTTTCCTATAGGGTTGAAATAGATACCGCAAACTGCTCAAGGTGCAATCAGGAGGGATTTTTTTTTTTTTTTTGGAGTCCTCTCACAGTTACCTAGGGGTTTTGGGAGTGGCTCCTTTTGCTGGGAAGGGCCCAGGAAGAGCTGGCTGTGCTCACTGCCCTGAGTGAGGACTCCAAGCTGTTACCACTTCTCCCAACCTGTAGCAGCTTCAAGTGCCCCAGTCAAGTGAGGCCTTGCTCCAGGCTAACACTGGTGGACAGGGCCAGGGAAGAAAGGGGACGGAGCAGTTTCCCAGAAAACCACAACCCTTCTCTCCTCCCAGCTGCTCCTTCAGTGCCATGTGAAAATGCCTAATTGCTTCATAATTCTAGGATCCACAAAAGTGAATTTTAATTATACTTGCAGTTACACTTTAATTACCACCTTAATTATTAAGCATATACTAGGCATGCTCAGAACTAAGCAGTTTTTGAAGGGATTCTCATATTCAAATATGAAGCTCATCTGTTATGAGAAATGGGTCATATGCAGAGCCATCATGACCAGGTAGAAACTTGTTACAGAAGGGGAAAGGGGGGTAGAGAGAGAGAGAGGGAGATAGAGAGAGAGACAAATGAAGAGAGAGACAAGAGACAGAGTCATGGGGAATAGCTCAAAAAGGAACAGACATAAGAAAAAAGACAGGTAGAGAATAAGAGAAAGTAAAGGAAAAAAATGAGTTTGCCAAGTGCCTTCCACACCAGCCCCTACCCTGATGCTGGCACCATCTCTTTGCAGCATTCAACCTGGTTTCTCCTTGAAGGCATAGCTCTACTGCCCACTGACCCTGCCCTTGTCGTTAACTACCACTTGCTTCCTCCTTCCTGTTGAGGGAACAACTGGAAGGGGAGGTGGGGACACGCAGAGAAGAGGGATTAAAAGGAAACCAGCTGGGCATGGTGGCCTGTAGTCCCAGCTACTCAGGAGGCTGAGGTCAGAGGACCGCTTGAGCACAGAAGGTCAAGGCTGCAGTGAGCTGTGATTGCACCACTGCACTCCAGCCTGGGCAACAGAGTGAGACCCACTTCTATTTTCAAAATAAATAAATAAATAAATAAAATAAAATAAAATAAAATAAAAGTAAAACAGCAGAGAGTGGAAACAGGTTATTGAAAAAGAAAAGGAAGAAAAGAATTAGAGGAAGCCTTGGAAATGACTGTGAGTTTCTGCATTCCTTTTTTGCAAAATGATATTATTTGAGTATTTAAGGTTATTTTCTTCTTAATTCACCAAGTGTCTGACATCTATTCCCCAACCCTCTCCCTGCCTTTACTTCTAAATAGAAATTATCATAGCTGCTTTAAACTCTGACATGGAATTAAGTGTTCTAAAGAGTGTTTATGCCTGTGCACAGAATTACAAAGGAAATTGATCTCCTTCCCACATTTAAATGGTGCTACTGACATGTTCTAATATTTATTAAATGCTACATTGCTTTTTAATGAGCCTTCAGGACAACACTTTTAATAACCACCTGTACAGATAACTGATCAACTCATGCTGGTGGAACCTCAGGCACTTCTTAATATCTGCTTGTTGAGAGCCACTCAGCTAAATGGTTATCTACCCACTGCAGGCCTTAAAAATGGAAAATCAAAGGGGAATGAGTTTAAAATGAAATCTTGCTCTACTACTAGGGGATATTATAAATAATAACAATTATTAAAATGTTAAAAATTCGTGACCTCCTTGGCATGTTACCAGTGACTTTCTGCCACTGGGTGGAGTAAGAGAGCTGTAAACAAAGATGCAAGGTTAATTTATCAAAATTTCTTCTTCGCTTTTATTACACACAAGAGAAAATAAAGGTAGTGGGCACATGGTACAGGATTTTGTTCGCAAGGTGCAGACGCCTCCTGCCTTTTATCATAAGGCTGTGAAGAAAATCATTTTCCAGTCTGGAAATATGTAGAAACTGTAATTTAAAAGTTATTATTTTAATAGGAATTCAGTTTTTTAAAAAAGAATACAGTAGTTAGCACTTATTGAGTACATATTAGGTGCAACAAATGTTTGTTGGATACATGAGTTAAGGGATTTACAAGTATCATGAAACTTAATCCTCAGAGCAACCCTGCAGTCAACATCATTTTAATCCCCATTTTACAGGAGAGGCAACAAAAACACTGGGAGGCTTCGGAACTGGCCCGACATCCCCAGCAAGTCAGAGGCTGAGCCAGGACTTGAACCCAGGTTCACCTGAGGGTAAAGCCACATAACCACGCAGCTGGCCTTTAAGTGCTAGAAGGAATTCACTAGAGGAAAATGAGGCCCAGAGATGTCAGACAATTTGCTTGGATCAAACAACCAGTTAACCCTGACAGGTCTGATTCTTGGTCTAGTGCTCTGAGTCAGGGCTGGCAAGTTCTAGTTTTTGGGCAAAATTGAGCCAGCTGCCTCTTTTTGTATCACCTGCAAGTTAAGAATAGGGTTTACATTTTCAAATAGCTGGGAGGAAAAAATCACAGGAACATTTTATGATACATGAAAGTTACATGAAATTCAAATTCCAGCATCCATAAATAACTTTTTCGTGGAACATAGCCAAACTGATTTGCTTCATCAGTGGCTGTTTGCGCTTTGCAATGGGAGGAGTCAGTCGCTGTGGCACAGACAGCATGGCCTCGAAAGCCTAAAGTATTTCAGCCCCTCTGCTGGAAGTAACTGAGTTTTTTTCTCCCCACTGGGAGAGGGGAATTCAGTGGAAACAAGCCAAATTCTCTAAAGCAGCAAATTCCTCCTCAAATGTCCACTGCTCCTGTACCCTTGCACCTCCTTCCTTAGTCTCCTTTCAAGTGGCAATTAGATAGAGGAGGTCCATTTTCTTGGTGACCTGTAAATTTAGATAACTTTTCATGTCTCTTTTGCCTTGTTACTTTATGTCAGAAACAGAATAATTCATTGAGAATCAGAGGCAAAACTTCTGCTATGTCAGCAGCTCTTATTTCTTTGAGATGATATGTGCCTAATACCTAGCACCGTGCTTGGCAGCCAACAGCATTGGCCATCCATGTGGCCTCAGTCGAGATACTGACAAGGGTTTAGATAATAATAAGGATAGCTAACATTTACTGAGCCAAGGACTATTGCAAATTATTTAAAAACTCATCTGCTCCTTACAGCAACCTTATAGAGTTGCCCTATTTTTATTCCATTTTGCAGAGGAAGAAGCTGAGATTTTAAACCCGGTTCTGTTCCCAAGTAGCTGAACAACCTGGGGAAGTTACTGCAGCTTTGAGGCTTTAGATTTCTCCTTGAATGTGAATCATATCTAAATGCTTTGTACCCCTAACATTTTATGAAGATTAAAGATGACATAAGATATTCTGTGTGGCTGTATTGTATCCACACCTAATCTCCTCGATGATTTCTTCTCGCACAGTAAGAAGAAATCAACACTCGAGGTGTGAATGTGATAGTTATTCGGACCATCACAGCAGGAGCCCCCAGCTCCAGTGGCAGGAAGCCAATGGCTAAGTTCTTCTCTACACGGTTTCAAAGAATGGTGTGTATGTGCTATGATCATGCAAGCAAGGTTTAGGATCAAGTCTAACATATTCACTGAGAGCTGATGCTACGTGCTTATGCTTTCAATTACGTTAACCCTTGAAAAAAAGCAACATAGATACTAAACCAAAGTTAAAGGAGCCTTAATATTAAACAAGAATGGAATGAACCCTCTGGCAAGCAAGAACACCTTACACTTCTGTGCTCACCTGCCATCATCTGCTAGGGATAAGACAATTCTTTTAAAGAAGGGATGTTTTATACACCCAAACATCTGCATGTGAATTTACCTTTCATGCTTTCCTTGAATCTTCCTCCTAGCTTTCAAGCCATGCATACTCTAATTTACGGATGATTTAAGAAATTTTCAAAGGTAATTTTAACAGTGTGAGACTTTTGTCGAAAATGCTGACTTTGGTCCACCATTACTGCCTAGGACAGAATCACATTCATCACTGTGTCACTCAGTGTGATTCTGTCCTTACGTGGGGAAATGACTGAGTGGACCTCATTGCTAATATTTTCCTTGGGAAGAAGTCAGATTCTCAGAGCTTAATATTGCCTGCCAAATTCTTACTTGACTCTCACGAGACATTTCAGAGCTTAGGGGAAGGGAGATTTAGATAGAGATAACGTGAGGATTTTCCAGAATTCTAGGTCTTGCTGCTGGCCTCTTTTCTACACTAGGGATCTGCAAGCTATAGCTCACGGACCAAATCTGTTCCACTATCTGTTTTTGTTAAAAAAAGATTACTGTGACACAGCCATGTCCATTCCTCTACCTATTGTCTACTGCTGCTTCAACACTACAATGGCAGAGCTGAGTAATCACAACAGGGAATATACAGACACAAAGCCTAAAATCCTGCCCTTTACAGAAAAAGTTTGTAGACCTTTGCTCTATACAATCCAAATTTCTGGCCTTGTGGCTAAAGGGTCAGGTGAAGACAAGAATCATCTTCATCTGGTGTTTCCCAGCTTGCAGTCCCTACTTCTGACTTGATATAGTGGTAAGCAGCTATATATCTAGGAGAAAAAAACCCACCTATGGTCTCTTTGAATTGACAATGGCAAATATTGGCTCGAATTTCCACTCCCTCCACCCCTTCCCACATGTGTGGCTGGAAAGATCATAGAACTCTTTTTCCACTGAGCTGGGATATAGCCTCAGAATCTTTCTTGGCACAGCACTGCTCAGGCAGCCACTGCCAATAAAGAGAAGGTGGCATGAGATGAAAGCTGTCTTCCCTCATCTGAAACATTTCTCATGAAGTCTTTCCCCATAGGTAGTTCTGCCTCAGGACAGCCTCAAGGTGGCGCTCTCTGGAAGAGTCTCAGCGGGACACACTTAGCGTCTATAAGACACTACAGACTGAATCACCTGTAAGTCTCGTCCTGATAGCAATGTGCTCGCTCGCTCTTTTTGATGGCTCATCAAATATGACTTTCAAGTGGAAATTGAGTCAGGAAGAAATGAACTGACTAGTCACTCAGAAGATACCCGAGAGCACGCAGTGGTGTTCTGACACTATAAGGCAGCACTTAGGATATGCGAGTCCTGGTACCTGCCCAGTTTTAAAACCTCTCCTTATAAAAAT
Source organism: Homo sapiens (assembly GCF_000001405.40). Lineage (NCBI taxonomy): Eukaryota > Metazoa > Chordata > Mammalia > Primates > Hominidae > Homo > Homo sapiens. The sequence continues at coordinate 67,385,253 of NC_000003.12, forward strand.
GGCCACACCCACAGCTGCTGCTCAGGGAAGCAACTTCAGGCTCTTGTTCCTGAAGGGATGACCACTGCCTAGAGTGGGGCAGCTACCCGACCAAAGGCAGCCCACTCCTGGGGCAGATAAGACCTGTGATGTGCACTGGGGGATGTTTCCTTCCATGCAGAGGGACAGTCATTAGTGTAACCCCTCCTGTTCTCTTTGCCTATCACTGGCTCCATCCGGGAGTGGTGATGGTGTAGGGAGCTGACTGAATATTTGAATGGAGAAAGTTGGCATGGGTAGTCCCGCCCCTTCCTCTGGCCTTCCTTTTAGGGATATGCCACTCAGAGTGAGTCCAGGTCATCCTCTGCTCCTTGGGTTCCACCCTGGGATGGAAGGTACACTGAAGTCTAGTGGAGCCTGTGACTGGGTTTACAAAGCTGCCTAATTCTGGGGCTTAGAGTAAGGAAGCTCACTGGTGGTCACACAATAAGGTGCATCCTCCAACTACTTCTTTTTTCTTTGGTGATGAAGGTAATACTTTTGTTTCCTCAGTCTATTTTATTTCTTACTGGGATCAGAACCCAGGTGGAAAAGGATCTGTTGGGCCTCTTCAAAGACCCTAACCCCAAGGCTTGGCTGGATGGGCTGTGAACAATGGGAGCAGTGGCTATTAGGTAAGCTAATTAGGTTGGCTACCTATGGGATCTGGACTTTTAAGGAACACCGTGGGATCAGGATGGCCTTCCTGAGAGGCTAGAAGGTCTCAGAGGGACCAAGAAAAAACACAAAGGAGTGAGAAAGTCAGTTCTGTGGACCATACTCTGAGAATCACCATAGTAACAGCAGTAACAGACACTTTATTTATTTATTTATTTGAGACGGAGTCTCGCTCTGTCACCCAGACTGGAGTGCAGTGGCGCGATCTCGGCTCACTGCAAGCTCCGCCTCCCAGGTTCACGCCATTCTCCTGCCTCAGCCTCCCAAGTAGTTGGGACTACAGGCGCCCGCCACCACGCCCGGCTAATTTTTTTTTTTTTTTGTATTTTTAGTAGAGACGGGGTTTCACCGTGTTAGCCAGGATGGTCTCGATCTCCGACCTCATTATCCACCTGAATAACAGACACTTTAATATGATAACTATCCAAAAGTCTTGTACACTTCATCAACAAACTCAGATTACTATACTCAAGCAGCCCCACTGAGTCAACATCTACTGTATTAGTCTGTTCTCACGCCGCTAATAAAGACATATCCAACACTGGGTAATTGATAAAGGAAAGGGGTTTAATTGACTCAAAGTTCCACATGGCTGAGGAGGCCTCACAATCGTGGTGGAAGAGCAAGGGACGTCTTACATGGTGGCAGGCAAGAAAGGGCATGTGTAGGGGAATTCCCCTTTGTAAAACTACCAGATCTTGTGAGGCTTATTCACTATCAGGAGAACAGCATGGGAAAAACCCACCACCATGATTCAATTATCTTCCACAGGGTGCTGCCCACAACACGTGGGGATTATTACAATTCAAGATGAGATTTGGGTGGGGACACAGAGGCAAGCCATATCATTTACAGTATCATTCTTGGAACAGCTCAGTTTTCCCAAGCTCTGTGTTGCAGCCATAATTCCCTGGAGACCTTCTCAAGAAAAAGTCCAAGGATATTTTGACTCTGCTGGTGTACCCCCATCCTTTGACATGAAGACTCCCAAACAGTTGTAGCCTGTGTTGTTCTCTGTGCTTGCCTCTCTCTTTGTATCTCTTTCTTCTTCCACTCTCTGCCACTCTCCTTTCTCTTTCCTTCCCTGAGACTGTCTGCCTCACATGTTTAGATCTGCACAATATGGACTTAATAGAAATAATAATCACAAAGGAAAAATGAAAATGGCAGACACGCCAGTCAGCAAAGCCTAATATGAACATTAAAACATACTGATGAATTAAATCTTCTTAGAAGTGTAAATGCAGCATAATTGATCCCAATAAAAGTAATAAAAGGAAAATAAGTGACAAAGCTACAATGAAAAAAAATTGATCAAGGAGTCAATGAGTGCATCAGTATTGGTGTATTTCTGATTAAAATGTTGATGTCAGACTGTTTTCAGGGTCAAAGTGATCAGAGACCCTCAGATTTTAAGAGTCAACTCTTCTCCTGTTCTTAAAGGGGGAAAGGTCTCTATCAGCCAATTATATTATTGTTTGTCACTGGAAATAACTAGAAATGAATGCACACTACGATTGACCCATTCTTTCTGGGGATCCTTTCTGTGCCTGAGTTGTCACAGAGGCCCACAATTTATTAGTTATTCATACATTTCGAGAAAAGCTAGTTACCCTGCCTTAAATTTTTCCCAAAAGATTTAAAGGAGTGCATCTTTTATTTTCATACTCTGCTTAGTATTCCAGAAGAATTAAGTGATTTTTATAATACGCAGATGATATTCATGCTGAAATATGCAAAATACCACATTCAAGATTATTTTCCTTAATATTCTCTGCTGATTGCATCAGAGGTCTATCTGAGATACTAAGAAGAAGATTTGACATTTCTAAATTTGTTAGATGATCAGATTTGAATCTTTTAACTAAATGTACTTCCAAGGTTTATGCCTGTGGTTTTTTAATTAGTTAATTAGTATATTAGTAAATACCATGTGCATGCAGGTCAATGAACTTTAGGCATTAAGGAGGATCAAGAGAGATGTAAAAAAAAATGTCAGCTACTAGATGGCTGGGAAAATAAAATGGAAAAAACTAACAACATAAGACAATATCTATAAAATGGTAACAAGTGTTATCTGCTAATAGGACCTGCTTCTATCTTAGTAAAAGTAGCCATCAGGGGATCCCAGACAGCCACCAGACTGGTTTGCTGAATCTTCAGAAATATTGATAACTTCACAATGTCCACTGTATCATGAAGGAATTGAATGTGATAGCTCAGGATGAGATCAAAGAGGGCACTGCCTTCCAAATTTATGCAAAGAAAAATATACATAGTGACCCTTCTTAGCCACTACCCTCTTTCCACTATTATAGCTCCTCTCTTACCGTAAGAATCTGGGATCTTTATCAAGAGAGAAAAAGCAAGAGAGCTTTGGACATTTCTGGAGTCCTAGCTGGTGTCCTTTTCTTCCTCTTGTGGGAATTGGCATCTTGTGTGATAAACGTCCTCGGATAGATACAGGGTCTCACACTCAACATGAAACTACCAGGGATACTCACTAATATTCATATGTGTGATTTCTGTGAATGGAGCAGACCCATAGCAAGACAAGACCTATCCCAACATTGTATTGACCATGCCTAATAAAGGGAAGATGAAGCATTCTGTTATAACTGTATTCTTGGCACTGATCATAGGTGAAACAATGCAGAAATTTGAAGAAGGTATTATCCATAAAGGGAACTAAATGCAAATCAAGCCAATGCTTTTTAGACTAAGGAAATGCAGACTCCTAATAATGTGTCCCTTTAAGGGACAAAAGTCAGTGCCTAGTGTAGCTCTGCTCACTTTCATTGGCATAACCCACTTTTATGCTTATTCAACATGGACTATTATAGTTATAGTAGATTTAGAGATGTGAGTTAGCAAAGAAGTAGTATAAAAGGAGAATTTCCAAGTTGAGTCTGGAGGATAGGTAAGAATTGAATCATTGCAAAGGAAGAAGGAAGGAGTGGGTAGAGGATCAGAAGTCAGTCATCAAGTAAGTCATCATCCATACCTGAGAGTTGGTATTGGGGTCGTAACAGAGGTAAAAACTGAAGCCCAGGACCTGGGTAGATCAGAAGGATGTCCTGGAGAGAGTAATGGCTTTGCAGCAATATGTTACGGCTAAAAGAACAGAGTGGGAAAACTGAGTAGGTACCGAGTCAATGACATTAGGCAGAACCAAAAACCCAAGCAGAATTGCCACAGATATAAAGTGGTATGGAGGCAAGAGCAGAGAGAAAAGGAGATGAGACAACAAGGGGAATCTAAGGAATTTAAATCTGTGAACCAGAAGAATGATGGCATAGTTGATGGACTTGGGAAAGTCAGAAAGGGAACTCAATAGAGAGCGTGGGAGAGGATCAGAGATGAAGCTGCAACACTGGAGAGAGTGCATGTGGAGAAAGATGTATGAATACAGGGGGCCATCCAAGGAGAGATGTGACAGACAAATGGAGAAGTTATGGTCATTTTAAAGGCCCTTCATAAACCACATGCAGAACTGTGGTTTTCAAAGATAGCTCAGTGAAAATGAAAAACCAACCAAAACCAAAAATATCTTGTCACAAATAGTGGTTCTCAGTACTTCCAGTGGAGAAAAAGTTGCCAACTACAGGGACCTTTGCGAAATGTCTTTTATCTTCCATCTAAATTTTTCATTTGCTTTCCTCTATGTCAAAACATAAATTCTTATTCTCTCACAATTTTCTCTACATTTAGTTGTAGTTTATCCAACCTTAGAGTATGATTTGGTTCCTTCTGTTTTTTTTTTCTAAACAGAGCAAGTCTTCATTTGTCTACAAGAACAAAGAAAGATAAAGTGGTACAAAGAGATGGAAACATTTTGGACGCTTTTAGTGGTAGTTTCTATTTGACCTGACATTACACTATACTCTGTTTTGATGGATGAATTTCTCAAGGTTCTTTATTCATATCAATATTAAAATTGGCTCAGACTCCCACAACACACACCATTGTCTAGCTAGGGAGAGTGAGGTGAAAACGGGTCTCCATCATCCCAGTAGCTATTACAAAGCCAAGTGACACTAAAAATGAGATGTGATGGAAAAATGTTACCAGAGACTGGATTACAATGGTACATAATTTTTATTGCTAATATTTATTAAGTACTTTCTAAGTTTCAGGCACGCTGCCACATGTTTATCACAGTCTGAAGAACTGTGAGATTTTCAGTGATCCAGATAACAGACATTTCAAAACCCAGTGGCACATTTTGTAACTACTACCTATTTCCTGTGAATAAAGTAAGTGGCCTTCTTGTTTGTTTGGTGACCATTCAGAAGATCCAGGGTCCTTGCCATCAGTCTCTCTAATATGCAGCCCACATTTTAAAGATTCTGTTGCCCACCCACAATGTATTAAAAATATCCTGATGAGAAAAGTTTTAATCAATCAAATCAGGCTTGATGTAGTGGGATTTTGTGGACAAATCTTTGTTCTCAGCTGTATAATAATTACAAGCTGTTTCACCAGTGGATAAGGAAAGGATTATTCTCCTCTTTGAAAATGGTAACTTTATAATTACATGTATTTACTTGCCTTATCAGAACAGAACTCACCAACTGAGACAGAGGATTATTTTTGTTCAAAAGACTCTTGCGTGAAATGAACAGCTACATATTTGGGGGAAATTCAGCCTTTGTAACCAATTGTTTCTGGTGTGAATAAAGAACAAATTATCTGAAATGAGGGTTTTTTTTTTTTCCTTTTTGAAACGTATAAAAACCTTGGCACAAAAATTGCCTAGACGGTTAACTTGGCCCAACCCATGAAACTGTTGAGAAATGTACATTTATTGACAGCTCTATACAGTCAGTGTACAAAGCGTTTTGGCCAAACGCAGTAAACAAAATGTTTTGAGTGGTTTTACAGTTCTTTATCAGAATCCACCAACATCTTATAATAATTTTTTAAGAATTCCTTTTATTACTGTCCTATTTAAATCTGCAGCAAACTTCTATGTCTCAGATATGTCTGAAGAGGAATATGCTTGTTTCTCAGGTGTTCATTATGACTCCAAGTTGAGCTCTTAATATATTAATAATAAACCTCGAGATAATTTGTAGACTGGATACCGTTTCTCTTAGCCAAATCTTCTCAATTTTATTTTCCACCCAATACCAAAAGGTTTGTTTCAGCAACATAAACATTTTGTTTTTCTTTTGCCAAATGTCTTTAAAAACAATTATCCCACCCCCTTCATTCTTACAAATCTCTCTAACATTCCCTAAACTTTCTCTAAAGTTGTTGTGAACATAAACATATTCTGTGTCTTTCGCTTTCTTGACTAGGCACTGTACCTCCTCTGGGTGGACACTTTCTTATCCTTGATTCTGAAATACTGATAAACTGGAGCCACAAATAGAAGAGTACAAATCGTGTCCTTCTTAGCATGGACTCGGTATGCTAAGAAGGACACAATTTGCACTCCTATTCGCTACATGATGGTATGTGATCCTTTGGTCTGCTGGAGGAGAGAAAGAAACCTTTGGGTATTAAAGAGTTTAGAGGCAGCCATAGAGTTTTCAGCTGTGTCCCATATGCTTCGTGGCTATTCATTCTTCAAGTCTTCAGTTATGCTAGGTTCTAAGACCAAGAGATGAGAGCAGTAATAATGCCTTTACCTCCTATCAAAAAGGCAGCCTCGGTAGATTGACTGTGGGCCGAGTAGCTTTGAAAACATTTTCATTCAGAATATTAGAGCCCAAGATTTGCTGCTAACACCCAGAATACATTGAGAACGGGCCCTTAGCTGAGTGGTGGAATTGTTCTGGGCAGAGTGAATGCAGATCCCCAGCAGAGCCAAGGTCCAGTTCTGTGTCTGATGATGTCCCCTGGCCTCTTTGCACTTTTCTGGATTTAGGCATTCTCTCCGCTGCTCGTTTCCAACGTGTGTTCTGTACGGAGTTAATTTTCCATCTTCTATTCTTTACTCAAGCCCTGTCCCCTTGCAAGGTAAGATGGACCTGTTTCCCACCTCCACCCACAGCCTGTCTGAGGTCGTTCTGTTGCTGCTGTCATTGGAGACGTGGCTCTTGGAGGAGGGTCTGATGTTTTTGTCAGTGCATGCCCCTGTCCTTCTGTATGTTTGAGTCTCATTGTCCTTTCTCTTCTTACTCTCCAGGTCTCCATTTTCTACATGTCCTGTTCATCACTTTGCTCTCTGCCTCACCAGTGCCCACTCACCTCTTCATCTCCTTCCTCCTTCACTGACCCCTGTGGACATGTCCTTACTAGGACCAGTTTCACTTCACAGTGACATCTTTCACCTCTCCTGCCTTATCACTCGCATCCTCTCCACCTTTTCCCTGCAGAACCCCCTTGCTCCTTCCTCCTGGTGTTCAATTCTTCATCATCAGCTTAAACCCAGTAAGACATTGAGGGAATCCCATGCTGCCGTCAAGCCTCAAATCTGCTCCATTGTCTAAAAAACACTTCTTAATGCTTAAACTTTACCACACGTAAACATTAGACAAAGGCTCACAGGACCTGATCAAAGTATTAGTTAGGCTAGCTTTCTTAGATCGAATATATCAATTTCCAGGTAAATAATCTACTATATTTGGCCCTTTGGGTTTTCATTTTACCCCTAGGATAATGTGAGTAATTGAAATTTATCCCATGTTAGACATCCACTGCCTTACCTTAGAGAAAACGTCCTAATACACTTTAGGCAGGGGCAGAGGGGTGCTCCTTAAGGTAAAAACCACTTTCATAGTTAATAGTGGCAGTAATAATAACAATAAGAGAAGACTATGTTGGCATTTGTACTCATAGGTTGAAAGTAATGGTAGGCAAAACCGCTGGCATGTTATCATGGAATCAAGGCAGTGGCACCATACTGTGCTAGTAGTCACTGTACTTTTTTTTTTGAGATGGGGTCTTGCTAAGTTGCCCAGACTGGAGAATATTGTCATGATCATAGCTTGCTGCAGCCTTGAACTCCTGGGCTCAAACAATCCTCCTGCCTCAGTCTCCTGCTCAGCTGGGACTAGAGGCATGCATCACTACACCTGAGAGATCACTGTACTTTTTACTACCACATACTCACAGTAAGAAAAAAAAAATTGGGGAAGGCAGCCAAGATGGCCGAAATGGAACAGCTCCGGTCTACAGCTCCCAGCGTGAGCGACGCAGAAGACGGGTGATTTCTGCATTTCCATCTGAGGTACCGGGTTCATCTCACTAGGGAGTGCCAGACAGTGGGCGCAGGACAGTGCGTGCAGCGCACCATGCACGAGCCAAAGCAGGGCGAGGCATTGCCTCACTCGGGAAGTGCAAGGGGTCAGGGAGTTCCCTTTCCTAGTCAAAGAAAGGGGTGACAGATGGCACCTGGAAAATCGGGTCACTCCCACCCGAATACTGCGCTTTTCCGACGGGCTTAAAAAACGGCGCACCAGGAGATTATATCCCGCACATGGCTCAGAGGGTCCTACGCCCACGGAGTCTCACTGATTGCTAGCACAGCAGTCTGAGATCAAACTGCAAGGCGGCAGCGAGGCTGGGGGAGGGGTGCCTGCCATGGCCCAGGCTTGCTTACGTAAACAAAGCAGCCAGGAAGCTCGAACTGGGTGGAACCCACCACAGCTCAAGGAGGCCTGCCTGCCTCTGTAGGCTCCACCTTTGGGGGCAGGGCACAGACAAACAAAAAGACAGCAGTAACCTCTGCAGACTTTAATGTCCCTGTCTGACAGCTTTGAAGAGAGCAGTGGTTCTCCTGGCACGCAGCTGGAGATCTGAGAACGGGCAGACTGCCTCCTCAAGTGGGTCCCTGACCCCTGACCCCTGAGCAGCCTAACTGCGAGGCACCCCAGCAGGGGCAGACTGACACCTCACATGGCCGGGTACTCCTCTGAGACAAAACTTCCAGAGGAACGATCAGACAGCAGCATTCGCGGTTCATGAAAACCCACTGTTCTGCAGCCACCGCCACTGATACCCAGGCAAACAGGGTCTGGAGTGGACCTCTAGCAAACTCCAACAGACCTGCAGCTGAGGGTCCTGTCTGTTAGAAGGAAAACTAACAAACAGAAAGGACATCCACACCAAAAACCCATCTGTACATCACCATCATCAAAGACAAAAAGTAGATAAAACCACAAAGATGGGGAAAAAACAGAGCAGAAAAACTGGAAACTCTAAAAAGCAGAGCACCTCTCCTCCTCCAAAGGAATGCAGTTCCTCACCAGCAACAGAACAAAGCTGGACGGAGAATGACTTTGACGAGTTGAGAGAAGAAGGATTCAGATGATCAAACTACTCCGAGCTACAGGAGGAAATTCAAACCAAAGGCAAAGAAGTTAAAAACTTTGAAAAAAATTTAGATGAATGTATAACTAGAATAACCAATACAGAGAAGTGCTTAAAGGAGCTGATGGAGCTGAAAGCCAAGGCTCGAGAACTACTTGAAGAATGCAGAAGCCTCAGGAGCCGATGCGATCAACTGGAAGAAAGGGTATCAGTGATGGAAGATGAAATGAATGAAATGAAGCGAGAAGGGAAGTTTAGAGAAAAAAGAATAAAAAGAAATGAACAAAGCCTCCAAGAAATATGGGACTATGTGAAAAGATCAAATCTACGTCTCATTGGTGTACCTGAAAGTGACGGGGAGAATGGAACTAAGTTGGAAAACACTCTGCAGGATATTATCCAAGAGAACTTCCCCAATCTAGCAAGGCAGGACAACATTCAGATTCAGGAAATACAGAGAATGCCTCAAAGATACTCCTCGAGAAGAGCAACTCCAAGACACATAATTGTCAGATTCACCAAAGTTGAAATGAAGGAAAAAATGTTAAGGGCAGCCAGAGAGAAAGGTCGGGTTACCCACAAAGGGAAGCCCATCAGACTAACAGCGGATCTCTCGGCAGAAACTCTACAAGCCAGAAGAGAGTGGGGGCCAATATTCAACATTCTTAAAGAAAAGAATTTTCAACCCAGAATTTCATATCCACCCAAACTAAACTGCATAAGTGAAGGAGAAATGAAATACTTTACAGACAAGCAAATGCTGAGAGATTTTGTCACCACCAGGCCTGCCCTAAAAGATCTCCTGAAGGAAGCACTAAACATGGAAAGGAACAACCGGTACCAGCCGCGGCAAAATCATGCCAAAATGTAAAGACCATCGAGACTAGGAAGAAACTGCATCAACTAACGAGCAAAATAACCAGCTAACATCATAATGACAGGATCAAATTCACACATAACAATATTAACTTGAAATGTAAATGGACTAAATGCTCCAATTAAAAGACACAGACTGGCAAATTGGATAAAGAGTCAAGACCCATCAGTGTGCTGTATTCAGGAAACCCATCTCATGTGCAGAGACACACATAGGCTCAAAATAAAAGGATGGAGGAAGATCTACCAAGCAAATGGAAAACAGAAAAAGGCAGGGGTTGCAATCCTAGTCTCTGATAAAACAGACTTTAAACCAACAAAGACCAAAACAGACAAAGAAGGCCATTACATAATGGTAAAGGGATCAATTCAACAAGAAGAACTAACTATCCTAAATATATATGCACCCAATACAGGAGCACCCAGATTCATAAAGCAAGTCCTGAGGGACCTACAAAGAGACTTACTCCCACACAATAATAATGGGAGACTTTAACACCTCACTGTCAACATTAGACAGATCAATGAGACAGAAAGTTAACAACGATACCCAGGAATTGAACTCAGCTCTGCACCAAGTGGACCTAATAGACATCTACAGAACTCTCCACCCCAAATCAACAGAATATACATTTTTTTCAGCACCACACCACACCTATTCCAAAATTGAACACATAGTTGGAAGTAAAGCTCTCCTCAGCTAAAGTAAAAGAACAGAAATTATAACAAACTGTCTCTCAGACCACAGTGCAATCAAACTAGAACTCAGGATTAAGAAACTCACTCAAAACCGCTCAACTACATGGAAACTGAACAACCTGCCCCTGAATGACTACTGGGTACATAAGTAAATGAAGGCAGAAATAAAGATGTTTTTTGAAACCAACGAGAACAAAGACACAACATACCAGAATCTCTGGGACACATTCAAAGCAGTGTGTAGAGGGAAATTTATAGCACTAAATGCCCACAAGAGAAAGCAGGAAAGATCCAAAATTGACACCCTAACATCACAATTAAAAGAACTAGAAAAACAAGAGCAAACACATTCAAAAGCTAGCAGAAGGCAGGAAATAACTAAAATCAGAGCAGAACTGAAGGAAATAGAGACACAAAAAACCCTTCAAAAAATGAATGAAACCAGGAGCTGGTTTTTTGAAAGGATCAACAAAATTGATAGACTGCTAGCAAGACTAATAAAGAAGAAAAGAGAGAGGAATCAAATAGACGCAATAAAAAATGATAAGGGGGATATCACCACCGATCCCACAGAAATACAAACTACCATCAGAGAATACTACAAACACCTCTACGCAAATAAACTAGAAAATCTAGAAGAAATGGATAAATTCCTTGACACATACACCCTCCCAAGACTAAACCAGGAAGAAGTTGAATCTCTGAATAGACCAATAACAGGCTCTGAAATTGTGGCAATAATCAATAGCTTACCAACCATAAAGAGTCCAGGACCAGATGGATTCACAGCCGAATTCTACCAGAGGTACAAGGAGGAACTGGTACCATTCCTTCTGAAACTACTCTAATCAATAGAAAAAGAGGGAATCCTCCCTAACTCATTTTATGAGGCCAGCATCATCCTGATACCAAAGCCTGGCAGAGACACAACCAAAAAAGAGAATTTTAGACCAACGTTCTTGATGAACATCGATGCAAAAATCCTCAATAAAATACTGGCAAACCGAATCTAGCAGCATATCAAAAAGCTTATCCACCATGATCAAGTGGTCTTCATCACTGGGATGCAAGGCTGGTTCAATATACGAAAATAAATAAATGTAATCCAGCATATAAACAGAACCAAAGACAAAAACCACATGATTATCTCAATAGATGCAGAAAAGGCCTTTGACAAAATTCAACAACCCTTCATGCTAAAAACTCTCAATAAATTAGGTATTGATGGGACGTATCTCAAAATAATAAGAGCTATCTATGACAAACCCACAGCCAATATCATACTGAATGGGCAAAAACTGGAAGCATTCCCTTTGAAAACTGGCACAAGACAGGGATGCCCTCTCTCACCACTCCTATTCAACATAGTGTTGGAAGTTCTGGCCAGGGCAATTAGGCAGGAGAAGGAAATGAAGGGTATTCAATTAGGAAAAGAGGAAGCCCAACTGTCCTTGTTTGCAGATGACATGACTGTATATCTAGAAAACCCCATCGTCTCAGCCCAAAATCTCCTTAAGCTGATAAGCAACTTCAGCAAAGTCTCAGGATACAAAATCAATGTACAAAAATCACAAGCATTCTTATACACCAATAACAGACAGAGAGCCAAATCATGAGTGAACTCCCATTCACAATTGCTTCAAAGAGAATAAAATACCTAGGAATCCAACTTACAAAGGGCGTGAAGGACCTCTTCAAGGAGAACTACAAACCACTGCTCAATGAAATAAAAGATGATATAAACAAATGGAAGAACATTCCATGCTCATGGATAGGAAGAATCAATATCGTGAAAATGGCCATACTGCCCAAGGTAATTTATAGATTCAATGCCATCCCCATCAAGCTACCAATGACTTTCTTCACAGAATTGGAAAAAACTACTTTAAAGTTCATATGGAACCAAAAAAGAGCCAGCATTGCCAAGTTAACCCTAAGTAAAAAGAACAAAGCTGGAGGCATCACGCTACCTCAGTTGAAACTATACTACAAGGCTACAGTAACCAAAACAGCATGGTACTGGTACCAAAACAGAGATATAGATCAATGCAACAGAACAGAGCCCTCAGAAATAACACCGCATATCTACAACTATCTGATCTTTGACTAACCTGACAAAAAGAAGCAATGGGGAAAGGATTCCCTATTTAATAAATGGTGCTGGGAAAACTGGCTAGCCATATGTAGAAAGCTAAAACTGGATCCCTTCCTTACACCTTATACAAAAATTAATTCAAGATGGATTAAAGACTTAAATGTTAGAACTAAAACCATAAAAACCCTAGAAGAAAACCTCGGCATTACCATTCAGGACATAGGCATGGACAAGGACTTCATGTGTAAAACACCAAAAGCAATGGCAACAAAAGCCAAAATTGACAAATGGGATCTAATTAAACTAAAGAGCTTCTGCGCAGCAAAAGAAACTACCATCAGAGTGAACAGGCAATCTACAAAATGGGAGAAAATTTTCGCAACCTACTCATCTGACAAAGGGCTAATATCCAGAATCTACAATGAACTCAAACAAATTTACAAGAAAAAAACAAACAACCCCATCAAAAAGTGGGTAAAGGACATGAACAGACACTTCTCAAAAGAAGACATTTATGAAGCCAAAAGACACATGAAAAAATGCTCATCATCACTGGCCATCAGAGAAATGCAAATCAAAACCACAATGAGATACCATCTCACACCAGTGAGAATGGCAATCATTAAAAAGTCAGGAAACAACAGGTGCTGGAGAGGATGTGGAGAAATAGGAACACTTTTACACTGTTGGTGGGACTGTAAACTAGTTCAACCATTGTGGAAGTCAGTATGGCGATTCCTCAGGGATCTAGAACTAGAAATACCATTTGACCCAGCAATCCCATTACTGGGTATATACCCAAAGGACTATAAATCATGCTGCTATAAGGACACATGCACACATATGTTTATTGCAGCACTATTCATGATAGCAAAGCCTTGGAACCAACCCAAATGTCCAACGATGATAGACTGGATTAAGAAAATGTGGCTCATATACACCATGGAATACTATGCAGTCATAAAAAATGATGAGTTCATGTCCTTTGTAGGGACATGGATGAAACTGGAAATCGTCATTCTCAGTAAACTATCGCAAGGACAAAAAACCAAACACCACATGTTGTCACTCATAGGTGGGAATTGAACAATCAGAACACATGGACACAGGAAGGGGAACATCACACTCTGGGGACTGTTGTGGGGTGGGGGGAGGGGGGAAGGATAGCATTAGGAGATATACCTAATGCTAAATGACGAGTTAATCGGTGCAGCACACCAGCATGGCACATGTATACATAGGTAACTAACCTGCACATTGTGCACATGTACCCTAAAACTTAAAGTATAATAATAATAAAATAAAAAAAAAGAAAAAAAATTATTTCATTAAACCTCAACCCTTGATTACACATCTGTTTGATACTCTTTGTGACCAAATTATAAACACACATAAAGCACTTCTGCAGCATCTTGAACTGTTCTGAGGAAAAGTGTTCGTGCAACTGTCTGGGTATCAAGCTAAACTGCTCACTTTTCCATGAAATGCTGTTTCTTTCTTGGAATAAAGACTGACACACTATAGTTGCTCAGACTTGGTTAGCTGGCAGACATTTTCTTAAATATGAGTGAAGTGAGTCTGTCCCATCAAGGAAAACAACTTAACCATTTTGTGGCTGATAAAATTTGCACTATAAAGTCAAATTCAAATTCTAGACAATGTGCACCTGCCCTGTGAACTTGACAGCTTCCTACTAAAAAGCTTTTCTAATATGATGGTGGTAATATTAACAAATGTGATTTTTTTTATATTGTACATTGAAATGAGACAACCTTTGGAAGATCTGCATAATCACAAATTTTCTGGATCATCAGTGAATGATTTTGAACCATGCATGGATAAAACTCCCTTAATGTGTAACACAGACCAATGGGTTTTAATGGAATATGAAAAGTTCATCGAGATAGTTCCAGATTCCACATGGAAACTAATTTTCAATAAACTATTACCAATAGACTTTTAGTGTAGTACCAAAGAATATTCAGAACTATATGAAAAGAGCATTAAAAACTCCCCCTGGCTAGGTGTGGTAGCTTAAGCCTATAATCCCAACATTTTGGGAGGCTGAGGCAGGAGGATCACTTGAAGCCAGGAGTTCAAGACCAGCCTGGGCAACAAACAAACCCTGTCTCAAAACAAACAAACTAACAAACAAACAAACGGACAAAACTACTCCCATTTTGAAAAACACATATGTCTGTGAGGCCAGATTTTCTTCATATACTTCAACTAAAACATGTTATAACATTTTATGCAGAAACAGACATGCTAAATGTGAAAAGTTATTTACAAACCTGTAAAACAATGTCATTATTCTTACTAAAAATTTTTTAAAATATTTATTGCTATAAAATATATAATACATATGATATATAAAATATACCATAAAATATACAAATTATTTTTTAAGAGTTATTTTTTAAATTCCAAGTAATTTCAGTTATCAAATTAATTTATCAATTAAATCAATTAATAAACATTGACAAATATAAGCCAAAAAACCAAAGCTTTTTGGGATCCTCAGTTATGATGCATGATTCTCAGAGAAACATTTCTCAGAGTGTTTTTCCCCAAACACTAATCTCATAAAATGATTCATAAATAAAAGGGCTTTTGCTCTGGGGTAATTTTTCAAAATCTGGAGAATCATAACACCTGCCATACTTGGAGAGCTAAAAGCCACATTAGTTTGCTAGAGGCCCAGGGAAGTCCTGCCGTACTGTGTTTGTTTCATCTTACACAATCTAGTGTTTCGTTCTGTTATCTCAGGAAGTTTGTGAATCCAGAACATGCTGGTCACCTGACCTTGGAGAAGGGGTGCTGGCACAGCGGAAATCTACCATGACTCACCTTCAAGCCGGACCACCAGGGGCACCTTGAGTTCTAGCTCCCGGCAGGCTTTGGTGATCCCATTGGCAATGATGGCACAGTTGACGATACCACCAAATATATTGACAAGGATGGCTTCAACCTGAAATCAAAAATAAAAAGTTACCAATCAAAATGCTGATCGCCAACAGTCTCAAAAATAACTGGTTAAATAATAGAGACAATTAAAATAAGACTGCTCGTTTTTTTGTTTTTGTTTTATACAGAGCATAAAATACAAAAATGGCCCAGAACATGTTAAGAAAGCTCATATTAGTAATAAATTAATAAATATCACAATATAACATTACCAAATTTTCCCATCAATCACTCTTTTCAACTCAAAATGAATTTAATCATCATTCATTCGTCTATTATATAATGTCTTCTTTTTCTGAAAATATTATTGTCTATTCTTTTTATGAGTAGTATCATTTAAAATTTCTTGCATTTAGGTTTTTTTCCTCCACGATTTACAATTGCCTTTTTATATGTCATGGTGCCTCACACAATATTTCAAAATCAGAAACCATTTATTGTTTTGTATTAAAAGGTAAAAAAGATTCAAATGTTTTCATGCTTCCTTAATACCTCTTTGATATGCTAGAGGTATGTTCTCAAAAATCAGAGATAGTTTAATTATCTTAGACAGCAACCTTTTGATTAAAAAAAGACTCTCGAAATAAAGAGATCCAAGCTTATAGCATAAGTAAGAATGTAAGGAAAGTCAAGCTACTGACTGGAGCTTCTTAGAAATGTAAATTTAAACCCATCACCCATCATGTTAACTTGTTTGTACATATTCCATATTCAAAGGCATGTGGGCCAAAAAAAAAAAAAAAACAAACTCTACTTGTCCTGACTTGATAACTAGGCATAAGAAAATCCTGTATAATTAACATGAAGAACGAGATAATGAAGAGAATTCATTACCTAGATTAATTGATAACACCCACAGAAAAATGGCTGTTCATGAAGCTGGAGGCATCAAAATTCCAACAGTAGAGTCACAATTAAATTATGCCACACTAATTGTAAAGCATATATATATGTGCTGCATAGAATCCTATTATTTCTGTCTGTTAAATTACCTACACCAAACATATGAGAAGAGAATATCTTACATTTGTATAGCATTTAAATGTTTAGAAAGTGCCATCACACAAATCCTTATTTTTTATTGTGAGCCTTCCCAGAACCCTATTTATTAGGTAGGGTGAAGGTTGGCTCTCTAGCTGAGAAAGCCATCGGGCGCATTGGGGCATGTTGTCCCAAGGTCACACAGCTGTCATGTGGCTGTGGCCAGGCCCAAAGCCAGCTCCCTAGATTGTCTACTGATTTGTTCATTGATGTTGTTGCTAGGGCTGGGACCTTGGTCGAGTTACAGAACCTCTCTTGAACATTTCCTCATCTGTATTATGGGAATAAAAAGAGGACCTAGCCCACAGGATGTTGAAAGGCCTAAATGAGGTAATACATGTGAAATGTTTACCACATGGCTTTAAATGTACTTAATGGGTATTTACACTTGCATTTATTCAGCAAGCATTGATGAAAGTGGGCAAGTAAGAAAACCTTTTTCAGTAGACTGCAGCTCATGTTGAATTCAAATATAATGGAAATACAAACTTATTGAAATTCAACAAAAAGGTAATGCCTTAAGAATCAAAGAAATGAACAATATTTTTCAAACCAATTAGAGATTGGGGCTACTCCCAGAAAAGAAATCTCCCATTACTATTCACAGTAGGACAACTGGTAAGCAGAAGCTTGCTTTCTAATGACAGCTATTAAATGCTGTTAGCATTGAGGCTTGGTACAGCAGTAGTTTCCAAATAACTGTAGGATGGAGAGGAACTTGCCAGAACAATAGAAGAAAAACATTCAAGAGCAAGAATGACTCCATGGGGTCCATGATAGAAACTCAGGACCTGCTGAGGCTCAGTAAGGTTTGTGCAGAGGAACTTGGCATTCTAGTAAAACACACATTGGCACCTGCATGCCTCTGCCATGTTCCAGTCTGCATATTCCTTAAGGACAAGTTCGGATGTCAACTTCTCAGGGAATTCTCATTAAATTAGAATCACTGACTCTGTTTAACCCATCTAAAGCTTTACGATCATTTTACAGAGTATAGTTTACATCATAATCTTATGTGAATTCACCTAAACAGGCAGGAGTGAGGGATAGGAGCAAAAAGGAGAGAAGGGGCTTGAGACCCTGTGATTCAATTCTACTTAGTGGGTGAGTGCCTGGAGTAAGTGTCAAACAGGAATCAGTGTTGCCTCAGGTGGCATCAGTTCCCATGAGTCTCTCATGTGTTAGTATCTCGTGTTTAATTAGAGTCCGATGTTAAAAATAGATACTCTTCATATAACCACTTGCGGTTAAAATTTAACTACTTTAGTTGGTGCTGAACCCCAGGAAAAGCCTTCTTTTCTAACTGCAGAGGGATAACTGGTTTTGTTAGACTTACTGAGAAATGAATAGCTGTTGTTCTCCAATGTACTTTATTCTCCTCTTACCTTCCTCTCCCCATCCCAAGATGCAACTCCCGTGTTTGGATCATCTTTGTGCTTCTCTAAAACAAAGATTATGTATTTTCCCATTTTTTTAATAATCAGTAGCCAGCACAATCCATGATATGGCATAATCACGTAAAAATAATGGTTTAACAATGAATGAATTAATTTCAACAGACACTTGATCAACATCTCCCTTGTACCAGGTACAGAATTAAGTTTTGGGATATGGAGAAGGATGAAGTATCATCACTGTCCTCAGGGAAGAATTCAAAGACTAGTTTGAGAGCCAGACCAATAAACTGACAATTACAAATACAGGGTCTACAGATGTCTCACACAGCCAAGACCAGGGGAGAGGCGGTGATGCAGGCTGCTGACATGACAGAGGATTTTTGGAATAGGTGAGGTTCTAGTAGACAGGAAGAAAAAAAGAGCAGGATCTGAGATAAAGGGAGCAGCCAGGATAAAGGCAGATATGTCACCCAACTTAGTTCGCTGAGGAACTAATGGTTGAATGGTGAAGTAAGTTAAGATGATACAGGTGAGGCCAAGATTGTCAGGTGCCAGATGCCAGGGATGGGAATTTGGATCCTCTTATTTCTTCCTTTTTAGTTTATTTATTTATTTTTTGAGACACGTTTTGACTGTTTCACCCAGGCTGGAGTGCAGTGGCACAATCTTGACTCACTGCAACCTCCGCCTCCTGGGTTCAAGTGGTTCTCATACCTCAGCCTCCTGAGTAGCTGGGACTACAGGCAGCTGCCACCACACCTGACTAGTTTTTGCAGTATTAGTAGAGAGGCGATTTTGCCATGTTGGCCAGCTGTCTCGAACTCCTGACCTCTACTGATCCTCCTGCCTTGGCCTCCCAAAGTGTTGGGATTACAGGTGTGAGCCACCGTGCCTGGCCTCTTCCTTCTTCAGAACTGGGTAGACGCAAGTCTTGAAAGCAGGCTCCCTGAAACGCCGAAGAGAAGTTATAGGAGGGGAACAGAAGGACAGAGAGGAGAGTGAGTGCATGAGAGACAATGAGAAATACAGAACAACCATGAGAGAGCATGGGAGAGAGAGAGAGAGAGAGAATGAGTGAACAAGAAGCAGTAAAGAGAAGGCATGAGAGAACACAAAAGAATAAGAGAGAGAGAAAGTGCAAAAAGGAGAGTGAGAAGTCATGAGGAAGACAGGAACAGAAAGAGTATGACAAATACTAACAAAGCAATTGAGATTTCTACAAGAAGAGCAACAGGACATAGAAGTACGCAGGCTGCTTAGCTCAGGGAAATGGGATTGTTTAGGACACACGATACACCACAGCACCCTAAGAGGAAAGTCACCACCCTGGGTGGTGAGAAGATCCCACTCAACCAGAGATTATGCCATTCTCGCCTTCTCTCCCACTGTAAAGTAATTTGCTGCAGTCATGCACTTTAATGGAAATCTGATTTAAGGTTTAACTCTGGGCCAACTTCTATAATTAACTACTGTAATCTGCAATCTCAAACTGGGAATGCAATTAAGACAGTTTAAAAATGAAAGCCTCGTGACATCATTATTATTATTTAGCATTTATAAAGCATGTCAAATTTTCAATATGTGCCTCACGTGTTCATTCATTTTACAACCACTAACTGCTGTTCCATGATGATACCAACAGCAACTTTTAATTATCTTCCCCCAGCCCCCTGGCAAAGAGAATTTTTTTTTTTTTTTTTTTTTAAGAATTCAGTGTTAGGTCTATTTAAGTAACCAGAGACTCTCCCGGAAGATCCCAAGTGCTTTTGGGAACAGAGGCTTTTTCTAATTCTCGGGTGAGAATTATGAGGGTTGCTATTTACTGTTTTACAAAAGTAAAGATCATCTAATGAGGCAGTTGAAGTGCCAGATACAGGGCCCGGGTCCCCAGACCCCAGACAGCTGATCCCAAGGCAAGTTTGCTCTGGCAGCTGTGCAGGTGGTCAGGCAGTCCATACACAAGTTTTTCAAATGTCTGGGTGTTTTGCTTTGCAAAACACACTCTAGCTGCAGATTTTAGTACACAATTAAAAGTAAAAACTAAACTTTGAAAAAAGAACAGCTACAGCCCTTGCTATTTATCAAGCTTCTTTTGACATCATCCCCACTGCTCAAATAAACAAACCAACAAAAATCAATACTAAACCTCTTCTTTGGAACATGGATCCTTTTGAATATCTGATGAATATTAGGGATTCCTCAGTCAGGTGAATTCACAAACACAACATTTTTGGGGGATAATAGTAGTTAAGTCCCATGGCTACCCTGCTCCTACAGGATATGGCCTCCAAGACCTCCAATGGCAAGTGGTAACCTACAGCATATGCATTCAGGATAGGGCTATGAGTTTCAGATAATGGCAAGTGTTAGTGCACACCATATGTATTCAGGAGAGGGCTATGAGTTTCAGAGGAATAGTGAATTCTTCGCAGCTGTCCACAGAATTTTTGTCTGAATGTGTATTTTTCTGGGCAAAGTGTACATAATCCTCTAGAGTTGATATATGAATAGCTATCACAAATACAACCATAATTAACGTTACTAAAGCATTTAGCAGGTTGTACTCAGTATTCTAATTATTGTATATGTACTAACGCATTTAACACATGAGTATCACAGGAGGTGGGTATAATCATCCCCAAATTGAGGTGAAGATCTGGGAGAATCAGGGGTTACAGCTTTATCTACTGTCAAATATCCTTCCAAGCCAGCAAACCTAGAGAAGCCCTACAATGAGTGATGGCTTAGTCTCTTTGTGTTCATTACCACAACCAACTCTGCCATATACTTGTGAGACAGATATTACCTACCCCCCTTTCGCAGATGAGAAAACCAAGACTCAGAGGTAGAAACAAATTGTGCCAAATTAGGCAGCCTGTTTGCTGTCAGTCTAAAAAATTCAGCTCTTTTTATTCAACATGATCCTGAGTCCCCTTAATGAAATAAAAATATTGCAAGACTGCTCAATAAAAAGTTATTAATTTAATATATATTCTTCACGGCCTACTATGTGCCCTGTGCTTGTAGGCAGTAGCTAAGCCAGCAAGAAAGATTTTAAAATTAGACAAAAAGGTTCTATATATCTAAAACTGCAAACCACGATAATAGTTATGAAGGGGAGGAAAATGCTAGGTCCTATGTGAGTAGCAGGACAGGACCTATATTACACCAGGTGGTGAGGGAGGGCCTCTCATAGGCAGAGACATTTAAGCTAGAGTCTGAAGGGCAGTTGGGAAGAGGGCAGGTAGATCAAGATTAAGAGAGGGAGAAAAGTATCTTAAGACAACAGAATACCATGTATACAGGTGGAGGAACAGAAAAGAGTGTGGTGCATTTGAGAAACTGAACAGAATCTGGAGTATCAGGTCCCTGGGGCCTGAGAAGTAGAGTGATGGAAACAAGATGGGCCCCCTCGCAAATCATGCAGAGTCTCACAGAGCAAACGCCATGACAAAGAGTTTGAGAAGCCTTTGGTTTTGAGACACCTACACAGACTACAGTAAGGTCAGGAAGGAAATTAACATTTATTGAGCATCTACAATGAATTTACAATAAGCTTATAAATGTATTTTTAACCTTCATTTTATAGATAAACTGAGTCTCAGAAAATTTAGGGTTTCCTAGCTATTAAGCAGTTACAGTTCAAACCAACACTGTTTCACCACAGCACATGCAGGGCAGTTAGGAATAGCTGGATAATGATAAAGGAGCCACTGACATTCACCAGGGATCGACAACATCTTGCTTTTAAGAGCTCTATCAGTATATATTTTAGGTTTTTTGAGCCCGTCTCTGTCACAACTACTTACCCTTGTTGCAGCATGAAAGCAATCATAGACAAACAATATATAAGTAAATAAGCATGGTGTATTCCAATAAAACTTTATTTACAACAACAAGCGGTGAGCCAGATTTGGCCCACAGGTCATAGTTTGCTAACCTGACACAGATGTGATTTGGTTCATTTCCCCTCAAATTCATGGCAAGTATACCATCACCCCTCCTTCTTCATGTCACTTGATATATCTTTGATAACACTTTTCAGACATTACGTTGTCTTTCTTTGTTGTGTTATTTTCTTGCCATCACTGATAACACAAAGGTACCCAGGCAGTAGTGGTGGCCAATTACATAAAGGAGTCCAACTTTAATAACATTCCTTTAAAACAAAACCTGTTACCTTTAACAAGTTCATAGAAGGAAAGTCTCTGTTTTGTTCTTTTTTCCTCCCTGACATTGGTTGGAAGTGAAAAAATAGAAAACTTTCAGAGTAAGCCAGCTACTTTGCAAAGGTTATTGCAAATAGTTAAGTACTGCATTGTATTTAAAAACACTGTAGCATATACGTGAAGCACAGTAAGTGCAACTATTAGGTTTTGTCTGTGCCTATTCCAATCACGAATGCTAATTTAGTCCCACTGTAGCAGGCATGAGGTTGATAAAAATCAAGCAAGCATGTTTATATTAGCCAAGATAAGGACTTTTTTAAAAAAATCACAGGTTATTTTAATTCTGAATGTTGTTGCTCTTGTTTAAGCATCTGTTTTTGTGAAACTGTTTTTCTTTTTTGTTGTTTTTATTTTCCTGATGAATTCTAATCATGTCTTCTAATCCACTGGCAGCCAACGAAGGAAAATAAATGGTGAAGGAAATGAGATGCAGCTTGGATAATTGATGTTTGTATGCCTGGATTTAATAAAAAATACTCTGCTAAATTAGAGGGGAGTCTAAATAGATTCAGTCAATAAGGAAGTGATTCAGGTGAGGAATTCAATCTTGGGCTTTGTTGTAATAATACAAATAAACCAACAGATTGGTTCGATTGGGACCAGATTTGCCTTCTGCTGAAATTATGGCAAGCTGCTCAGGCTCACTTTTCTACCTTTGGTATATTCTTGGAGTTTGAAATTATTTTCTTTTGTGTGACTTCAAATGCCAGGATCCTTGGAATAAAGCAACTCATGTACCTCCAAAATAGCTAAAACTGACATGTGAAAAACAGCATTCCTCGAAAGATACCCTCCCACTCTGCCCTTTTAATTTCTTCCAAGGAAAAAAGAAATAATTTTAGTGAGTCCACGATCCTGCCTGAAAATCTCAGAATCAAAAGGAAATGTCTTATACAACACCCTTAATACAAAACAAGATTTGGGCATTTTAAATTCATCAATTGAGATGAACCAACCATTTTATTCCAACTTCTCTGAACTGATAGCATGGAAACGACATCTTATGGAGAGATCCTCTGGGGACAGTAACTTGATGGAGAGTCAAGTTTCCATTCAGGTTGACCTCTGAAAGCAGTCAGGGGAACCTAGGGAAATGGGTCTAATTAGACTCCAATCTGTCCTTATTCTGTCTATTCTCTTCTTCCTAAATTCTTCACTTTACTTATATTCTATAATTTACTCCTTGGTAGAATAAGCAAAACTGTATGGAGGATTAAGGTTTATTGAGTGTTAATTTTCCTAGGTGCTAAAATTATGTATTATAACTTTCCCTGGTAAATAAACTCAATGAGCTTAAACATCACACAGCAGTAGGCAATGGTGTCAAGATTTAAATTAAGGCGGTCTTACTGTAAAGTCCATGTTCGTTCCACTCCCTCTGGCAGTCTCTCTATAATCAGAGACTCCCAAGATGAGTCAGGAGTTCCAGCTCCATATTGGTCCTATTTCCAAGCTTCAAGAACGTGCTTCTGAGTCCTGTATTCTGGTGCCCAAGTATTTCTTGCTTTCAAATTTTGCTGCTGAATTAAAATCAATCAGAGGTAAGATATCTTGTATAGGTTTGTGGACCAATGGGTTTTAGTTCTTTACAATACAGATATTTCCTGTTTACTGATAAAAGAGTTGTCCAGAGCTCATGGTTTTGGCATTTCCTAGTTAGATGGGGCTGGGGAGGGGTCATGAAGGTACAAGAGTGGGGCCTGGCCTTCAAACACTAAACTCTGTCCTGAGCTGAAACAGATGTTCCTAACAAGAACTCTCTCTGCAGACTGATAGCTCCTCCTCTCCATGTCTGAAACACTGAAATGTATACCATTGCCACTATTATTCTTTGAAATTATGGCCATAAAAATTCTAATGGTGAGACATCATCATCAATACAGATTTTAGATATCAGGCAGTGGAATGGCCACTGGTAGGCATGGTAACTCTGTAAGTGGCTGCTTGAAGAATGATGATGGGGGCACATTCTAGTTAGTTCCATGGCAGAGATCTTTGAACTGTTAACAATGTCTGCCATGGAAGTGGAGGAAAGAGTCAATGCAAGTGTATAATACATTTGTTTCCCTAACTTTGGAGTTACATGACACATATTTACACATAATTACACATAATTACAACTAAAGGTTTAGTCTGTCAACATTGCCCCTCCTTTAATAACTTTTACAAAGAAAATATCAGGCAGTAAAGAAATCCAGTTCACATCCTGCATAACCACCAAGAATATATTAATTATGTATGATTAGGTATATGTAAAGCAAAAAATTTAAATATAGACTTCCAGCTCTAAATAGAATGAAGACATCTTCCATTAGGAATACTGGTATAGCTTAACAGGTTAAAAACTAATGTGAATACTGCACCATATAAATTATAAAGCCATACTTCCTCCCAAAACAAGGATCTGTTTCCTTAAATCAAAGTTCTCCAAAGTATATTGTACGAAGTATTAGACCTAAGTAATGCTCCTTGAAAAAATCTTCTGGTCAAATAATTTGGATTCTACCTTAATGTGAACTTTAGCAGACCATCTGTGTTCTAAATTATAACACCTTAATTTAGTTATTTTCTGCAAAAGAGTCAATGGGTTGGAAATTTGATCTGCAGAGAGCTGTCAGAAAAGGTGTTCAGGAGCTGGTATGTTTGTGGTTAGGTGGCACAGAGATCTATGGTCCTTCTTTACAAAGATGCTAATCATTTCATTATTTAGGTCAAAGTTATAGTATCTACAAAAGTAGAAGGCTTTCACAAGCAAGAACAGCAACTACAAAGGCCCTGGCCAGGCCAAGGGTGGCATATAAATGCTTCTGTAGTTGTCAGCAGACAGGGTAGTAGTGGTTAAGTCAGGTATTAACAGGATTTTCAGGAGAAGAAAAATCTGAAGATGGAAATATTGAATGGCATTATAAATAGGAAAAGGAGACAAGGAGTTAAAAGGACTGAAGGGCACAGAGATTTGGGGGAATAGCACAAGCACAGTTTCTATTTTTTTACAGCCATAGTTCCCGTATCCTTTTGAACTGAGAATCAGAACCACTGCCATGATTACAAAAACCATTTGGACATTTAGAATGGCAAATGCAACGTTCTTTTTTGAGTGCTGTGTGTTTAAAATAAATCATGCAAAAACTACCATAATGTATAATTTGGCCACAGAGATATTCAAAGCTAAAAAAAAATAGAGCAAAGAGATTTTGGTCATACTATTTCATAAAGGGGCATCAAAAGGCTTAAAAAAAGAGTCATATAATTCTCTCTTAACAAATCAGCTATTAGAATTGACTCTTCAGAAATATTTGGTTACAAAACTGTCTTTCCAGCTTAACAGATAATTGCTTTCAAAGCAGGATACTCATTGCTTATAATGCAGTATCTATATTTTATTTGTAATGGGAGCTACATTGGTGCAGATTGAGAATATTTATTGGCACATTCTTTCTGAGCCATATTTTGTTCAATCATCTCAGACTTATGTCATCTTGATGCATGTAAATACGTATACTCCATCATCATTTGTTGGAGAGTTAATATAGAGAACACCCATAAAATTGGCAACTTGGTGAAGGATCCATTTATTAATCTATAAACAGGATGTCTACCCATCTATTGTTGCAACATATCAGTCTCCACAGGGTTACTGTCCCTACAAGCAAGAGGAAAAAATATATTTCTATGAGTGGTTTCTTCTCCTTTATTTGTGATTAACATCAATTAGAAAAAAAAATAGCTAAGCAGAGAGAGCCAAAACTTAAGACCACACAGATTCACACTTCACACCACAGAGAAATGAAGACAAATTTAGTTAATGGCAAAACCCACTGTTTCTGTAAATAACAAATCTAATGTAAAACGATGGTGGAATATAATGATCCTGTGAGGTTTTAGGCATCTGTTCAAATAAACCTATTTGATCATTTAGTTTTCTGGAAAAATAAGGGGTTGACAAAGATTCATATCAAAACCCTAGTGGATAAATATCTGGCTGGAAAGAGTAAAAACATAAGATTCCAGCTATGATTTCAGTGATCTATAAGCTATTTCTTATAGACTAAAATTTATATTAAAATTATTTTAAGTAAAAGCATTTTTAAAACACATACATGTTTTATTCATTACAAATCTCACTAGTATATTTGTGAAAGGCAATTTACTGCCAAATTTCTTTACAAAAACAAGTTTCCATTTCATTTCCCCAAATCCCCACCTTTTGTTCATTCCAGTAAAATGACTCTAATGCCAAACCTGACACTCAGAATCTTAAATTCTGAAATTTCAGAATTTTCAGTCACTGCTGAAAAAATTCATTAGCATCTCAAACTTAAATTCAGGTAAATTAAGAGGAAAACCAAATAAACAATAATGCAAGAAAGTTACACATTCAAACATGTGTTATAAAAATCAACACCCCATTTGAATTAGGGCTCCTCTGAAATCCCTGGGCAGGGCTGGTGCCTGGTAATATTTAATATCAGGAGGAATGGAATCTTGTAGAATTCATTCTACACTGACCAGCAGTATTAAGTGTCACTGTCACCAAAAAAACATTCTCAGCTGTAGACAATATTCTAAAATTACTAATATCACTGTCTGACCTTGCTGTTATCTGTTGTGTGGAACAGAGATCTATTTATTTAGCTGTTCAGCAAATGTCAGTATACCATGACTGGAGAAAATTAGAAACTACATTGGCAGAGCACTCCCTACAGCCTGCTAAGTAAGGAATTGAACAAAATGCTTTCTACCTCAAAGTGTCTAAATCATTGATTGGCCACACCTTCTCTCATCCATGGTTAACCTTTCATGGACCTAGTAGAGTTCTCCAGCTATTAGACTCCTTTTGCAAAAGGATTCCAGAATATCATATTCTCTGAGGCACATGTTAAACAGACTATGAAAACATCGTGATTTGGGACCTAGCTGTGCTGCAGAATTGTCAGGGGCCTCTCCAGATCCTCTCCACTCTTTTGCAACCTCCTCTTGGCCCTGGGAGGCTGACTAGAGAGAACGGATTAATGGGTTCCTTTTGGATCTGATGTCTGGGGAGCCCTGGCAGGAGGAGAGGGAATTGGGGGCATTTATTCCCCCGTCCCTCCCAGCACGATTGTCTTGGGTGGCTGTTTCCTCCACAGAAGGTATCAGAGCATCTCAAAAAAGTCTTCATTACAGGATATTCTCTTCTGGTCAAGTAGTCACCTCCTTCTCTCTCTCTCAGCATTGGGACAGAAGCGATCCCACGCTGCCAGCCCCAGGTTCCTTTAACCCCACATATATTGTCATTATCAATATTTTTAAAAATAAACTTTCCTCCATATACTGTGAGATGAGTGTGCCATTGTTTCCTTTTAAGACTAACTGATAATGTGCCATTTTGACCAACCCAGCTTGCTCTTGGGAAAATCCATTCAACCTTCTAGAACTGGAAGGTTAACATTTTGTTCAGTTACCCCCTCTCCACAAGATAACCACGGTCATGGGTTACACAATAAAATAAAAGTCAAATAAAGCTGCACATTCTCAGCACAAGCCATTAAATGAGTATTATCACAAACATTTCTTTCCTTGGCTCTTTTTGGGACATGGCTAATACCTAAGAATCTGAAATTGTTGCTCATTAGCT
This sequence comes from Homo sapiens, assembly GCF_000001405.40. Classification (NCBI taxonomy): domain Eukaryota; kingdom Metazoa; phylum Chordata; class Mammalia; order Primates; family Hominidae; genus Homo; species Homo sapiens. The sequence continues at coordinate 67,413,132 of NC_000003.12, forward strand.
GTCTGGATCTACACCCCAGTTAAAGGCAGAAAAAGGAAAACAAGCTAAAGGCTTTATTATCTTGGGTCCTGTCCATTACAAATGACAGATGATGGCTTGTCAGGTGAAAACGAGCTTCTCAGCACTAAAACGGCTTCATTCAGTTTATTAGCCACAAACAAAACTAAGGAAGGCCCACTAAGAAAGTGACTTGAAATCCTTATTTTCAGCATGATGAAAGATGGGCTCAATAAGACTGAATCCCCATGTGGTCTTCCAGTCTGTCTAAAGAAGGAACATGGGTAACATGGAGACAAACTCGAGAAGATGGTTAGTATTTAAAAATGTAGGTCTGCAACCTTGAACAAAAAGTGTTAACTTCCATAAAATGCCAATGACCCAGCTGCAAGTAGTCACCATACATTTATCTCAAAAGCCACATTATTCTGTTCTACTAAGCAAATAAACTGTGTCATTGAGCTGTTAACAGTCAACCAAAAAATATACCCAAAGGGAATACGTATAGGATGGCTTAACAACCAAGAAAAACCATGCGGAAGGAAACTAAAGCTCTCAAATTCCACATGGCTTTTCTAGGAACTGAGCAGCATCCAGTAAAGACAGATACACACACAGTACCTAAGTCCACAACGTAGACAAGCATTTGCTTTCCAGATATGCTAGAGCTTCCTTTTGTCTTCCCTGCTCTGTAACTCTCCTTTATTCTCTGAAATGTCTGGACAAATGTCCCTGTTTGCAGACGCCTACCTCATCCATCTTATCACACATGTTTCTCAGTGTGGGTTTATCTCATGAACATGTATTTTCCAATATGTTAAATCCAAAAAATAGTTTTTAACTTATTTAATGTCTATTTTGTGTCCTATCAAAAAAAAGCTTCTTGGGTTGAAAAAAATATTTTTGTAAATGTCTTGACCTGCCACCTTTTTATTTTCATGATTGCTTTGAATATCATGTCAAAGTTCTTACTCCGGAAACCTGGATGGTCTTCTGTGTTGCTCAAGGCTAGCTGAGGGCATCTCCCATTTTTTTGTTTGTCTTGAGTAGGTGATGCTTCCTGTAATGCCCATTTCTGCTACACGAGTTCCCTTTCATACTATGCCATCTAACTCGACTCCGAAGTTCTTGCCACCTAGTTGAGAAGACTGTAATCTCTGCCTTGGCAGATTTGAGAACAGGAATTCCATCCCAGTTTCATGTTACAGTTCCAAATGACTGTTTTTATAGATGTATCGAGTACATTGATGTTGGGGGTACTTCTTATGGGAGATTATATTGACTAACTGACTTGCAGAGTGTTAATTTTAATTGGAAGGGGTGGTTTCAAACTCAGTGCCAGACAGGTAAGTAAATGAGTAGAGAGGTATTAGATTAAGACAACAGAAAATACTCTGACATACCAGCAAGGACATGCCTTTTCAAATGGGGCAGTTGCTACACAATCTATCCAATTGTTGCCATGCGAATGTAGGCCTTTTATGCCCAGATCTTTCCTGTTTTCAAAAGCCAAAATTCTGGATTTTTAAAAACACTAGGCTTACTAGACAAAATGTATCTGAGAGCAGCATCTGTCCTTACTGCTTAATCTGTGTATCTCCCACAACTAGGTAGATGTATCAACATCCCAGAAGATGCTTTCCAAACCAGTGCATCTTTCCTGATACTATCACTACCCTCTCTAACTTTTGGATTTTCCCACTCCCTCAAATAATCTGAAAATTTCTATTTCTTTTTTCTTTATGAGATGCAATCTTGGCTCTGTTGCCCAGGCTGGAGTGCAATGTCGCAATCACAGCTCATTGCAGACTTGACCTCTCAGGCTCAAGTGATCCCACCTCAGCCGCCTGAGAAGCTGTGACTACAGGCATCTGCCACATGCCCAGCTAATTTTTAAAAAAGTTTTTGGTAGAGATGGAGCCTCGCTATGTTGCCTAGGCTGGTCCCGAAATCCTGGGCTCAAGTGATCCTCCTGTTTAGGTCTCCCAAAGTACTGGGATTACAAGCGTGAGCCACCATGCTTGGCCAGAATTTGAAAATATTTCTGCATATAATGAAATATTCGAATGGAAAACTGTTACATGTGTGAATGTTGGAATGCAGAATAAAGCTACACAGAGAGAGAAAAGAAACCAAGCAAGTTTGGAGAAGGACACAAGGATTTCTCCGGCTACAAAACGAGGATTGAAGAGTTATACAACATGAATTTACACATGACAGCAATCATGCTAAGGCTGAAGTAGCTAACACTTCTTAATCACTTACTAGATGCTAGGCACTGCCTAAGTATTTTATCTATCTTAACTTACTGATATCTCACCACGACCCTATAAGGAAGGTAACTGCTTTCCATATTTTACAGATGGCATACAGTATAGAGGCATTAGGTAACTCCTCTAAGCCACACATTTGATAATCCTAAACCCTCATGTGACTCCAGATCTACTGTGTCATATGGTTTGCCTTATACTCTTCTACTCTAACACCTTCAGTCACCTTACTGGCCAACTTGGCTGAAATCCTTGGCATAGCCTAAAATGTCCTTTATATACACCAGATGCAACACATTCCTTAAACATGAGACAAATCCTCCCTTGAAGATCTCCTTCCATGGTAGTTTTAAAATATGCCCACAAATCCCTTAATGTTCCTCTCTTCAAGATGTAGAGCTTAATCTTCCTCCTCTGGAGCATGGGCTGTACTTAGTGATTCATTCTAATGAGCAGAATATGGTACACATGACAGTGTGCGACTTTTGAGACCAGGTTATGAAGGGTATTGGGGCTCCTTCCTATTTGTTCTCTCTCTTGGATCACTCACTCTGGGCAAGCCAACTGCCAAGCCATAAGGACGGACACTCAAGAGACTTCTATCCAGCAAGGAACCAAGGCCTCAGGCCTCCTACCAACTGCCATGTGAGTCATTTTGGAAGCAGATTGATCCTCTAGCCCCAGTCAATCAAGTCTTGAGATGACAGTGAACCTGGCATACTTCTTGACTGCAGCCTCATGAGAGACCCTGAGGCAGAACCAACCTACAACCAAAACCAGATGTCACTTATCAATAAACTCAAGGTTGAATTGTTGGCTCACTGATAGGCAGAGTTTTGAATAAGAATTTAGGTAGCTCTTTCAATAAAATATTTTTCACATTTAAATTAATGGCAGATTGCTGAATAAAATGTATATGCTTTTACCATTTAATGACCACATATGAAAATTGAAACTAATCCTTTGCCATACTGAAATATACTAAACTGCAAGTTCTAAGAAGTGACATAGATTTATACTTTTTAACAGATGATTTTCCTAAATTTTATACTTAAAAAATCCCACTATAATAATACTGCTTTGGAAAATGCTAGCTTTTTTTTCTTAATCAGGACTATGTACAGGGAATATGAGACAATTTGGTATCCTATTAGAATCTTATTTCTCTGACATGAGTAAGTTGGGCTGATTTCTATAATGATCTGTTACATATGCCTTAAGTCTTCAAGTGCAATGTGAGTTAAATGAAAAGTACTGTGGAGTTAACATCACAATTACATCTTAAGAAATTGCAGGAGATAATCTAAATTTGTTAAATATATTGCTAAGTATATGACTATCCACATAAAGCTTAATCAATTTCATAATAAAATCTACTTTAAACCCTCCAAAGTTCTGATTGTGTTCCTTAATATAGACTATTGAAAATTATTAAAATATCTGGTTTAGTGCTACAATAAGTGAATTAAGGCAAGATCAGTATGAACTACAACTGAGACAGGTATCCACTAGAGGCCAGTGTACTTCGGCATGGAGAAGGAATTTATAACCAATTCCTGTGGAAAAACCAACCTTATTCCTACCATTCAAAAGTGGAGGTCTTGTGAAGTGAAGAAAAAAAAGATGAAGAAAGCTATTTTGATTCTCTGAAAAGAAAGCTTCAGAGGATAAGAAAGATGAGTTAAGGAAGGATGAGTCATGAAAAAAAAGAGCAAAGAGAATTCTTGTCTAGAGAAAAAAAAATAGTACTACCATACACTGTACTGTTTGATGTTTCACCAACGTAAGTGTAAATTTTCAAGATACTTGGTGTAACTGTAAGCTTTTTCATAAATGTTTCATTTGGCAATATATTGGAAATAATTAAAGATCTGGAGTACCTAGAAAGTACCACAGTAATTTCATTTTCAAGGCAGTCATCATTGCTAGCTGCCTAGACAAGGCCAAGGGTTTTGAAATGGGATGGAACAAAACTGCATGTCTGCAATTTTCTTCCCTTAAACAACTGTATTCAGAACAAGTACCAAATGGTTCCTTCTCAAACATGGAATAATTCATATAAATTCACCTAGCACTACATTCATATTGTAAAATACATTTCTTAATAATGGTGCGACACGATGCCTACAATACTTTTTAACAAGGAACTGAACTAGTTTCTCAAAACTAAAAATCGGAGTGGAAATGAAAATCTGATTCTTTAGTAAAACGTAGACAATAATAGTTGGTAGGATCCTGAGTAGGAGATTTTACTTTGTAAGAGTGAAGGCTGAATGATTTAACACATAACCCACAGATGTGTACTCTTTCCCCTTTTCCTCCAGCAGAGAAAGGCACCTTATGTAATGTGGGCATGCCGGGGAGATGAATGAACCAGAAAATCTTAGAGCTAGGCAGGACCTGAGGGTTCAGCCACCGCAGCTTGAACCTTTTCAAAGACAAAAGTTTCCTCCTTTGCAAGGTGGCCCATTGCATCCCTCCATTGCATTGTTGAGGCTATAGCTGTTTGAAAGTTATTCTTTAATCTTTATACTGGGGGACCTCATCTGACACAACAAAATACTGTTCTGGTTCCTGAGGCCAAAAAGAGGACATAAGATACAAAGATAAATAATACATGATCCTGACTTCGAGGAGCTGTAAAATTCTACCCATGCAGTAGGTTCTGATTCTGATCTCTGCAACAAAAGCACTGGCTCTATCACTTATTAGCTGTGTGAATTAGCTAACTTCTTTGGGCCTCAGTTTCTTCATCTTTAAAATGGGGATAATAATATTAGTACCTACCTTTGCAGGGTTGGTGCCAGGATTAAATGAGATAATTAAAATAAGGCACTAAGCCCAGTACGTGGCAAGTGGTAAGTACTTATTAGCAGTCAGCAATTATTGCTACTCACTATTTACCTGGCATATAAGTAATTCAACCCTTTCCAAACTCCTATGAGCTATGATTTTATTACCATTATTTTTAGAGACAGGAAAACTGAGGCTCAGAAAGCTGAAGTAGTTTGCCAAGATCAGCAGCTAATTAATGGCTAGACAAGGATTTGAACACAGGTTTATCTAATGACAAGAGCTTTAACCATTACACTAAGCTGTTCTGGTGAACAGTAAGGCAACTTCCTAATCCTAAAGTGACAGGGCCAGTATTCACTGACAAAATCTATGACAAATCCAAAATTTTTCCTTTCTCTGATATAAATATAGTTAGTGCCAAAAGCTAACCACAAGATTCCTCCCTTCCTAGCCATGGGAGAACAGGAGCCCTGGAGATGGAAGAATCTTTGAAGTCCCTGAGCCCTGCTTCCAGTGAGCCATCCTGCCTGCTGTTCCAACCTCTGTTCCTGGAGCCCATACCATCCTGGTTAATCTCTGCCTCTGTAGAGGTGGGGCTTCCACTACCTTTAACTGTTCTTCATGGGATAATCACAAACGGCCTGGACCTCTCCTGGAACTCAGGGATAACAAAAAAGTATTGAGAGAGAATTATCTAGTCGGGAATAAAGACACACAGGTGAATGTTATAAGAAATGCATTCAGTGAAACCTTTGAAATAGCTGTGTGCTCTCTATGCCAAGTCATGGATTTAAAAAAAAAAAAGGTCTGCACAATGTTAGGATCAGAATACAATGGTATGACACTTAAGAGTACTTCCAGGTTGCTTGCTTCCTGATATTACAAAAGCACGCTCAGTCATCTCTGTCCTCTATCACCAAGCACTCAGTCCTGTGATGAAAGGATGCTGGCATTCTATTTACATCAGCTAAATTTACAAAGAAACTGACTTTCTGTTGATGGCCTGTTGAGAGGAACAAATTAAAATAACTCTAAATCATGTCTGTAATTTTCTGAAGAGATACGCTTATCACACCCCACTTAGAACACCAGGTCAGATGTTATCTCGGTCTCTCCTGATATAGATTTTCTACTCCTTTGAACTTACAAGATACAGTTCTGCCTATTCATTAGGAAGGTACATAAGAAATTGGCTTACAAACTACAGTGAATCAGAATGTCTAATTGTCTGACTCTGGCTCTGAGAAATGTAACTAAAATCATGAACCATAATATTAACAAAAAATTATGGTCCTTTATCTGGGAAGGTCTTTTATGAATGTGCTTTCATTAGCTAGTAAGGCCAGAGGAAACAATTTAAACTCAAATCTTAGTGACTGTTTTCTTAAAGTCTTATATTAGGAGCATTCTGTCTGAAATGTTAATGAGAAGAGAAATCTATGTTGATTTGACCCCCAATTTATGACAGTATGATATGAAATTTCCTCCTCCTTGTCAAAAATAAGGCTTCTCCAAATAAGTGTCAAACTATTATGATTTACAATGATTTAAAAACTGTTATTGACATGATTCACAGAGTGGACAATAAACAAGCAGGAAAAGAAAATAGGATAATTGTGAGGTGAAAAATATTTAGAATGACAGGTTGCATGATTAAATGAGAAGCTGAAAATCAAAAGCTGCTGAACCATTCAATCATTTCACAGAGGCATGTTTCTCTTTAAGATGTTTAAGAAAAGGTGAGGGAAACAGAAAAGACACTGCAAGGAAGGCAGGGATGGTTTGATTGCTTCATGAAGATAATTAATTGGAATGTACTAGGAAGCTGTAGGCTTTGATATGGGCAGCAGCACCCAGTTGGCTTGATTTATTATTATGGTTACACAGAAACCAACTTATCTGCAAAGCATAAAGTACATACTTGCCATCCTAAATTCAGGAGAAAAATGGGGAAAATGGACTTGGGTGAAAAAAGGAAAATGAAATTGAATTGAGTCTGAAGTGACTTACTATCAAATATAAGTCCAACCATTTGTCACAAGTCAGGTATCTCATCTACAAAATAGGCAACGTAATAAACTGACTTTACTAAAATGTACTGACCTGAAAATTGTTTGTGATTTTGTTTTATAACAATGCAGTATACCACACTGGTGGTAAGTGAGAAAGATAATAATCTAGAATGTGTTCCAAAAACAAATTTGGCTGTATATTGGCAAATTATATTTTCATCTCTGACTTCAAGAGAAGTAAGGGAAAGAATGAAAAACAAAGTAGTAGGATGAGTATTATTAAGTATGAGTGTGGGATGGTGTGGGAAATAATAGACTATTTTCTTGTTACTGATTTGCAAAAGTCCATACACCACAAAGTAAAACTATGTTCTTTCTCTGTTAATTTGATATTGAAGAGCAAGGAGAATCTCAAGGGGACTATCCAATCCACAACTATCCTACAACATGACTTACAGACACATGTAGGAGTCCTTTTCATATTTCAAAAAACAATCCTCCATTAGGCAGCATGATAAAGTAAAAAACAAAGGAATAGATACACACACACAAAGACATACACCATATGCATACTGTGTATGTGTGTGAGTGTGTGTGGGTATTTATCTTAATTCTAAAGAAGGTGCTTGTTGTGTGTTCCAATGAGAGTTAGTAAGAAACATGACTGTCATCTTTTCCTTTCCCCTTGCAGTAATCCTAGTTTTACTGTCAGGCACATATGGGTTTTTCAATAACCATAACTCAGATAAACATGTAATATCTAAGAATAGTTAACTTTTTATTAAGGGTGTTAGTCTGTGTGAGGTGTAATGCTAAGCACATCATAAGTATCAGGTCATTTCATCCTCACAAGAAGTTCAGGTGTTGACACTGGAGATCACAGAGGTTAGTAACTTGCCCATAGTCCTACAGCTGCTTAATGTCTGAGCAGGAATTTCAATCTGGGCCCATCTGACCATGCAGCTTACCCAAACTCTTATCCAACCTGATACCCCATCTACCACATTTAAAGACCCACTGTCATTAAAGACCCATTTTAAAGACCCATTTAAAGACCCACTGTCCTACCACTGCCAGAGTACCCCACATATGCTATTACAGTATAACATGACCCTAGACACACGCTAACAGAGTCCTTTTTATATTTCCCAAAACAATCCTCTCTCAGCAAAAAAACAATCAAAGAAGCAGGGATGCATAACATTTCACTAGCAGTCAGTTGGGAGACCTGGGTTCTAGTCTTCGCTCTGCCCTGCTTTAGGTACAGGACCTTGGACACATCTCTTCATCTCTCAGGACCTCAATAACATCACCTGTTAGAAAATCCTTGAGAAACATTTCTGCACAAACATACTAAATGTATAGGCAAGTAATAGAAGTCAATCACAGTGAAGATCACTAGCACCAGACTGTTGCTTTTATTCCACTATGGTATGTTTATATAAATGTTTTACTGCTATAAAAATGAAAGATAAATAGTATTCATTGGGAGAAAGGGGCTTAGCAACTCCACATTTTGTCATCTACTATTACATATCTAGGTCAAATTTGGCTTTTATTAATAAATGAAGAATGAAGACAAAAATTGCAAATTGGAAGAGTTTAATTAGAATATAAAGACTGTCAAGAGAACTGAATTGCATCCTTGACATAAACTGGACTAGAAAAATAATTAAAATTGGCTTTTTAAAGTCTATTTCGGTTATGTTGAGGAGCAGGATATTTTGATGAGAAATGTTTTCAATTCTTTGAATAAAAGCAAAGAAGATTTGCACAGTCATCAGTCCACATGTATATAGTACAGTCCTTCAAGGCAGGAAGAAGTTTACTCAAATGAGGCAAGTAAATGCAGAACAGAACTGAATGGCTGTCAGCCCTACCTGAGTCTCAGAGACTAAGCTTCAAAACTTGAGGTTTTTCTTTCACCCTAAATAGCTCTGATGAGCAATAAAGTATGACAGGGAAGTTTAAAAAAAGAACATTCAGGCTGGGCACAGTGGCTCATGCCTGTAATCCCAGCACTTAAGGAGGCTGAGGCAGGCGGATCACAAGGTCAAGAGATTGAGACCATCCTGGCCAACATGGTGAAACCCTGTCTCTACTAAAAATACAAAAAAAATTAGCTGGGCATGGTGGTGTGCGCCTGTAGCCCCAGCTACTCTGGAGGCTGAGGCAGGAGAATCGCTTGAACCCGGGAAGTGGAGGTTGCAGTGAGCCAAGATCGCGCCACTGCACTCCGGCCTGGTGACAGAGCGAGACTCCATCTCAAAAAAAAAAAAAAAAAAAAAAAAAAAAAAGAACATTCAACACAATTTTACTAAGATCTTACAATATGTGTACAACTGTGTTGAGATGTGGAGACAAAGGAAATCTGTGACCAGAAAGTCATAGTCTTTGCCTTTGCTAATTTTATAATCTAGTGGTGAACTTGATGTTGAGAATGAGAAAGAGATTTCAAAGGCATAGCTCAACTAAGAACATCTTATAAACCATAAAGTCCCAGTTTAATAGCTACTTCACCATTTACTAAGATAATGCCTATAGGGAGGTAACTGTGGACTTTTTATTGTCTGTGCATCTTACTAAAGGGTGGGCAACTGACGGATAGGGCATCTGTATCATTTACACTTAATAAGCATCTTCAGCTACACCAAGAGAGATGGTCAATACTCAGAAGGTTGTGAGGACACCCATCACATTAGGTGGAAGCTTCTGGACCTGAGAATGGAAGGTAGAATTATGTGGTCAGGGTCTTTGGAGACAAATTTATTAGGCTGAAGAAGGTAGGTTTTTTTGGACCAGGCTGCCAGGGTTGATTTAGTCTTGTTTGTGGATGGTTAATAGGTGCAGTGATGTGGTTTGGCTCTGTGTCCCCACCCAAATCTCACCTTGCACTGTAATAATGCCCACGTATCAAGGTTGGGACCAGGTGGATGTAATTGGATCATGGGGGCGGTTCCCCCATGCTGTTCGTGTGACACTGAGTGAGTCTCACGAGATCTGATGGCTTTGTAAGTGTCTGGCATTTCCCGTGCTTGCATTCTCTCTCCCACCACCCTGTGAAGAGGTGCCTTCTGCCATGATTGTAAGTTTCCTAAGGACTCCCTGGCCATGCGGAACTGTGAGTCAATTTAAACTCTTATCTTTATAAATTACCCAGTCTCAGGTGTTCCTTCCTAGCAACATGAGAATGGACTAATACACCTAGGAATAATTTTATGCATTTCCATAAAATGCATGTTTGTAATGTTTCCATTACAGGGCTAACCTGATATGAGTACTCAAAGTCTAGACACTACAATTCCCTCCTCCCAACATCCACCAACTTCATTTAGGCTCTTTCTGTGCCTGGCATTTGAGTCTATCTTCCTCATGCCTCCCTCACCTCTTGGAGCCCAAATACTCACACATCATGCTGCCTTTGTTAATATTTGCCCAGTTTTCTCTTACCCCCTGCTCTACAAGATTCTGTAAAGATCAGAGCAGAACTTACTTCTTATTTCCGCTATTTTAAAATAAAAAGCTTTTAGACATTTTAACATTTTTGACATCAGAATCCCCCTTAGAATGAATATCTCCCTTTACTGAAGTGAGTTTTGCTCCTAAAACACCATTATTAAAACAGTGAGGTATCTTACTATAGCTAGGATTCTAGAGCAGAAGAAATACTGCATTTCTGTTGTTTAGGTCCTGACCAATAACAGGACTGACACTGATACTAACTATACACCACTTCCCTTCCTCTTGTTCCACTTCATGAAGTCTCTAAAGGATCTCATATGTTTGGTGGAAAATCAAAACTGCAGAAACTGATAAATACTCTGATTTTGTTTTCTCTGTACTTGATCTTCAAGGATTGCTTTAGTAGAATATAAAAGCAAATGATGGCTCATTCAAAAAAGGTCAGTGAATGACAACTCTTAGGAACTCTTTTGTCACTGATAAAAATAGTTCCATCTACCTGGAATAATCTTGTAATCCATTTAAACATTTGTACATAATTCTTCAATCTCTGATATACAATGGTGAGGGGACTCAGCCCACTGTGCCTGGGGAAGAGGAGAAAAAGGGGGGAATCTAAAGCCCAATTTACCACTTTCTCTCACAAACCGGATTATCTTTTTGACATCTCTATTTCCATTCACAGAGATTCAAGGACTCTTTATTTTCCCAGTTATCCTTCTCTGGACGGACTCTAGTCACCAACATCCCTCCTAAAATGTAGGATGATGCATTGGAACTGTTGCTCTCTGTAGCTACTTACTGTCCAGTGGTAATACAGGGATGTGTTTAGAAATACGGAATATAGTGTAAAATTGCCCGGGCTCAACATACTAGCTATACCCATACTAGCTCTGTGTCCTCTGGTTAGTTATGAATCTCTTCTATGCCTCCTTTTCTTGGCTGTAAAATAGATAATCATGTCTTAAAATACAATAATCCACATGAAGTACAAGATCCTGGCAAGTCATAAGAGCTCAGTAATTGCTGGCCGTTACTAAAACCACCAGCATCACTTCTGCCACCACCATTCTCACTACTGCTGCTTGATGGAGGACCCCAAATGAACTGCTGCAGGACAACGATGATTATAGAAGTGGCAGCAGCATTCCTTGCCCTCCAAGATTTGGCCCCATTTTATCTGGCTGAATATGTTGCTTAGCATTCCACTTTTAGCCAATCTGAACAATCTCTTTACTGTATTCTCCTGCTCAATCATCCAGCCTAAAAGCCCTTACCTTCTCTTACACCCTTCCAACTCTTCTGCTATCAAGGCTGCTCATTGAGCCTACTCAACATCTTCCACCCACAATCGCCTCCCCTTCCCCCACACCTTTAGCCAGAGAATCATTTTGCATTTGAATTAAGCGCTCTTCTAGTTTTAAATTCAATGTCATATAAGATTACTATGATTTATGGCTTCCTAACTGACTTATGAATTTACTTTGTTTTTCTAATTACAGGGCAAAGAGTTTCCTATTTTTACTTGGTATTGCCTTCTTGTACTTAGCATCATTTTAGGCATACAGAATAAGATCTGGGTATTATCAGTGGACTGACCCACACCTCTGTCCTAAGTGTATTATTTATCCCTAGAATTAATATTGGGATGCTTGGAAAGTACGATAATTAATTTTATATGTCAACTTGACTGGAAAATGGGATATCCGGATATCTGGTAAAACATTATTTCTGAGGGTGTCTGAGAGTGTTTCCACAAGAGATTAGCATTTGAATTCATAGACTGAATAGAGAATACCCACCCTCACCAAAGTGGGTGGGCACCATCCAATCTGTTGGGGGCCTAAGCATAAAAAAAAAGGTGGAAGAAGGGAGGATTTGCTCTCTCTGTGTGATTATTTAGCTGGGGCATCTTCCTTCTGCCATTGCCATCCCTGGTTCCCAGGCCTTTAGACTTAGACTGGATGCTAAGCCATTGGCTCTCTGGCTCTCAGGCCTTCAAACTATACCACCAGCCTTCCTGGGTCTCTGCCTTACAGACAGCAGATTGTGGGATTCCTTGGCCTTCATGACTGTATGAGCCAATACCTTATAATAAATCTCTTTATATCTCTTATTTGTCCTGTTTGGTGAACTCTAAAACAGGTGTAGTAAATTTTCACTGGACACCATGATACTGCATAAACATTCGAGCTGTCGAGGTTTCCAATGACCCAAAAATAAAATTTAGCCTCAAATAGAGACTTGTAAAATATTACTATAAGCTCAAAAGGATTTTAATGTACAGTTAGAGAGGAATTCCAGCTCAGGAAGATCCTGCTTTTCTGTAATAAAGAATATAACTCAATTACCAACTGTCTCACTTAATATATGACACAATTCCTATGAGAAAGATTCTGTACTCTGAGAGTATTAGAGAATGCTAAGTCTCTATTCCAGGAGGTTAGACAAGACAAGATTGCCAAGCTTTAGTATTTTAAAATGTTTGCTTTTTCTTGAGCTAAAAGAATAAAAAAAACAAGCAAACAATAACAAAATCCCATAATCATGATTATTTCACTACTTATAAAACTCAGTGTCATATTAGCACCTGAGGTCATTAAGGTTGGTTTGTACAATAACCAAAACATACTTGAAAGCAAGTAAAACAGACATATAAGAAAGAATATATTAGGTGAAAAAGAAAGCTCTGATTACCCAAAATGCTAATAATGGCTCTGCACAAACAATTAAAACTCTTCATTTCAAACTCCATTTGTTCAGAATGTGAATATGGAGGACTCTTCCACAATTTACCTTTGCAATATTTAAGGAAAAGTATTTGCTGAGTAAAAAAATATATATTACAGTAAGACTGTAAAGAACATACTTACCATATTCAAGAAAATAAACTTTTCTCCAGTATTGAAATGTCTCATTTATAAATACTTGATTCCTTAATAGCATGACACTCTTTTCTGCTAATTAAAATAGGTGGCATGCTGGGCGCAGTGGCTCACACCTGTAATCCCAGCACTTTGGGAGCCCAAGGCAGGCAGATCACGAGGTCAGGAGATCAAGACCATCCTGGCCAACATGGTGAAACCCCATCTCTACAAAAATACAAAAAATTAGCCAGGTGTGGTGGTTCGCGCCTGTAGTCCCAACTACCTGGGAGGCTGAGGAGGGGAATCACTTGAACCCTGGAAGCGGAGGTTGCAGTGAGCTGAGATCTTGCCACTGCACTCCAACCTGGCGACAGAGCAAGACTCCATCTCAAAAAAAAAAGTGGCAAAATCCATCCATTTGACCAAGCATCCTTTGCCTACTTTAAACACATAAAATAATAAGTAACACTAAGAATGTAATTTACAATAGGATTTCTTCCTACCGATTGGCCTTATACTAAGGATGAACAAAAGGTTTTATATATTACCTGAAAGAACGGTTTTTTTGCTGAATGAAACTGATTATTAGTAATGGTTCCAGTCACCTAAAATAGCCAAAGGTATGTATTTTATGTTATCACTCTTCTTTTTTTAGAAAAACATTTTCCTTTAAAAGTAGCCTACCAATTCACAGGTGAAACTGAATTTATTGTTGTAAGATCAGGCTTTAAAATAACTTTGAGGAGGAGAAGCCCTTGACAAGAAAGTAAACAATAGAAACCAGGTCAGCAACTGAAGACCTGATTTTATTGTTCATAGACACAAATGCTTGGTTTCAGAAATGCCTTAATATCAAGGAAGCTACTGGTCAAAAGTATTTCTATGGGCACATTATATCCCAGAACTAATGTTGTCAATTGACTATCTAGTTGGTAGGAAAAGTCAGTTCAACCTTAAAACCTAAGTTAAATAGGAAGAGGTTCCAAGATGGCCGAATAGGAACAGCTCCAGTCTACAGCTCAAGAGAAGGGTGATTTCTCCATTTCCAACTGAGGTACGAGGTTCATATCACTGGGGCTTGTCGGATACTGGGTGCAGCCCATGGAGCACGAGCCGAAGCAGGGCAGGGCATCACCTCACCTGAGAAGCACAAAGGGTCAGGGAATTCCCTTTCCTAGCCAAGAGAAGCCCTGACAAACAGTATCTGGAAAATCAGGACACTTCCACCCAAATAATGCGCTTTTCCAACAGTCTTAGCAAATGGCACACCAGGAGATTATGTCCCATGCCTGGCTCAGAGGGTCCCACAACCATGGAGCCTCACTCACTGCTACCACAGCAGTCTGAGATCGAACTGCAAGGTGGCAGCAAGGCTGGGGGAGGGGCGTCCACCATTGCTGAGGCTTGAGTAGGTAAACGAAGCAGCCAGAAAGCTTGAACTGGGTGGAGCCCACTGCAGCTCAAGGAGGCCTGCCTGCCTCTATAGACTCCACCTCTGGGGGCCGGGCATAGCTGAACAAAAGGCAGCAGGAACTTCTGGAGACTTAAACATCCCTAGTGGTTCTCCCAGCACAGAGTTTGAGAACTGGAGAATGGACAGACTGCCTCCTCAAGTGGGTCCCTGACCCCTGAGTAGCCTAACTGGGAGGCACCTCCCAGTAGGGGCCGACTGACACCTCATACAGCAGGGTGCCCCTCTGAGACGAAACTTCCAGAGGAAGAATCAGGCAGCAACATTTGCCGTTCTGCAATATTTGCTGTCCTGCAGCCTCTGCTGGTGATATCCAGGCAAACAGGGTCTGGAGTGGACCTCCAGCAAACTACAACAGACCTGCAGCTAAGGGTCCTGACTGTTAGAAGGAAAACTAACAAACAGAAAGGACATCCACACCGAAACCCCATCTGTGCGTCACCATCATCAAAGACCAAAGGTAGATAAAACCACAAAGATGGTGAGAAACCAGAGCAGAAAAGCTGAAAATTCTAAAAATCAGAGCATCTCTTTCCCTCAAAAGGAATGCAGCTCCTCGCCAGCAATGGAACAAAGCTGAACAGAGAATGACTTTGACGACTTAAGAGAAGAAAGCTTCAGACGATCGGTAATAACAAACTTCTCCAAGCTAAAGGAGGACGTTCGAACCCATCGCAAAGAAGCTAAAAACCTTGAAAAAATATTAGACAAATGGCTAACTAGAATAAACAGCATAGAGAAGACCTTAAATGACCTGATGGAGCTGAAAACCATGGCATGAGAACTACATGATGCATGCACAAGCTTCAGTAGCCGATTTGATCAAGTGGAAGAAAGGATATTAGTGATTGAAGATCAAATGAATGAAATGAAGCGAGAAGAGAAGTTTAGAGAAAAAAGAGTAAAAAGAAATGAACAAAACCTCCAAGAAATATGGGACTATGTGAAAAGACCAAATCTATGTCTGATTGGTGTACCTGAAAGTGACAGGGAGAATGGAACCAAGTTGGAAAACACTCTTCAGGACATTACCCAGAAGAACTTCCCCAACCTAGCAAGGCAGGCCAACATTCAGATTCAGGAAATACAGAGAATGCCACAAAGATACTCCTCGAGAAGAGCAACTCCAAGACACATAATTATCAGATTCACCAAAGTTGAAATGAAGGAAAAAATATTAAGGGCACCCAGAGAGAAAAGTCGGGTTATCCACAAAGGGAAGTCCATTAGACTAACAGCTGATCTCTCAGCAGAAACTCTACAAGCCAGAAGATAGTGGGGGCCAATATTCAACATTCTTAAAGAAAAGAATTTTCAACCCAGAATTTCATATCCAGCCAAACTAAGCTTCATAAGTGAAAGAGAAATAAAATCCTTTACGGGCAAGCAAATGCTGAGATTTTGTCACCACCAGGCCTGTCTTACAAGAGCTCCTGAAGGAAGCACTAAACATGGAAAGGAATAACCGGTACCAGCCACTGCAAAAACGTGCCAAGTTGTAAAGACCATCGATGCTAGGAAGAAACTGCATCAACTAACAAGAAAAATAATCAGCTAACATCAAAATGACAGGAACAAATTCACACATAACAATATTAACCTTAAATGTAAATGAGCTAAATGCTCCAAATAAAAGACACAAACTGGCAAATTGGACAAAGAGTCAAGACCCATCAGTGTCCTATATTCAGGAGATCCATCTCACGTGCAGGGACACACATAGGCTCAAAATAAAGGGATGGAGGAAGATCTACCAAGCAAATGGAAAACAAAAAAAAGAAGGGGTTGCAATCCTAGTTTCTGATAAAACAGACTTTAAACCAACAAAGATCAAAAGAGACAAAGAAGGCCATTATATAATGGTAAAGGGATCAATTCAACAAGAAGAGCTAAGTATCCTAAAAATAGATGCACCCAATACAGGAGCACCCAGATTCATAAAGCAAGTCCTTAGAGACCTACAAAGAGACTTAGACTCCCACACAATAATAATGGGAGACTTTAACACCCCACTATCAACATTAGACAGATCAACGAGAGGGAAAGTTAACAAGGATACCCAGGAATTGAACTCAGCTCTGCACCAAGTGGACCTAATAGACATCTACAGAATTCTGCACCCCAAATCAACAGAATATACATTTTTTCTCAGCACCACATTGCACTTATTCCAAAATTGACCACAGAGTTGGAAGTAAAAAACTCATCAGCAAATGAAAAGAAAAGAAATTATAACAAACTGTCTCTCAGACCACAGTGCAATCAAACTAGAACTCAGGATTAAGAAACTCACTCAAAACCGCTCAACTACATGGAAACTGAACAACCTGCTCCTGAGTGGCTACTGGGTACATAACAAAATGAAGGCAGAAATAAAGATGTTCTTTGAAACCAATGAGAACAAAGACACAACATACCAGAATCTCTGAGACACACTTAAAGCAGTGCATAGAGGAAAATTTATAGCACTAAATGCCCACAAGAGAAAGCAGGAAAGATCCAAAATTGACACCCTAACATCACAATTAAAAAGAACTAGAGAAGCAAGAGCAAACACATTCAAAAGCTAGCAGAAGGCAAGAAATAACTAAGATCAGAGCAGAACTGAAGGACATAGAGACACAAAAAACCCTTCAAAAAATCAATGAATCCAGGAGTTGGTTTTTTGAAAAGATCAACAAAATTGATAGACCACTAGCAAGATTAATCAAGAAGAAAAGAGAGAAAAATCAAATAGATGCAATAAAAAATGATAAAGGGGATATGACCACCGATCCCACAGAAATAAAAACTACCATCAGAGAATACTATAAACACCTCTACACAAATAAACTAGAAAATCTAGAAGAAATTGATAAATTCCTGGACACATACACCCTCCCAAGACTAAATCAGGAAGAAGTTGAATCTCTGAATAGACCAATAACAGGCTCTGAAATTGAGGTAATAATTAATAGCCTACCAACCAAAAAAAGTCCAGGACCAGACGGATTCACAGCCGAATTCTACCAGAGGTACAAAAAGGAGCTGGTACCATTCCTTCTGAAACTATTCCAATCAATAGAAAAGGAGGGAATCCTCCCTAACTCATTTTAAAGGCCAGCATCATCTTGATACCAAAGCCTGGCAGAGACACAACAAAAAAAAAGAGAATTTTAGACCAATATCCCTGATGAACATCGAGGCAAAAATCCTCAATAAAATACTGGCAAACTGAATCCAGCAGCACATCAAAAAGTTTATCCACCAAGATCAAGTCAGCTTCATCCCTGGGATGCAAGGCTGGTTCAACATATGCAAATCAATAAATGTAATCCATCACATAAACAAAACTGATGACAAAAACCACATGATTATCTCAATAGATGCAGAAAAGGCCTTTGATAAAATTCAACACCCCTTCATGCTAAAAACTCTCAGTGAACTAGGTATTGATGTTTACTGTGACACTATTCACAATAGCAAAGACTTGGAACCAACCCAAATGTCCATCAATGATAGACTGGATTAAGAAAATGTGGCACATATACACCATGGAATACTATGCAGCCATAAAAAAGGTTGAGTTCATGTCCTTTGTAGGGACATGGATGAAGCTGGAAACCATCATTCTCAGCAAACTATCACAAGGACAGAAAACCAAACACCGCATGTTCTCACTCATAGGTGGGAACTGAACAATCAGAACACTTGGACACACGGTGGGGAACATCACACACCGGGGCATGTCGTGGGGTGGCGGGAGGGGGGAGGGATACCATTAGGAGATATACCTAATGTAAATGATGAGTTAATGGGTGCAGCAAGCCAACATGGCACATGTATACATGTAACAAACCTGCACGTTGTGCACATGTACCCTAGAACTTAAAGTATAATAAAATAATAAAAGAAAACCTAAGTTAAATACAAACAAATAATAATTACTTAGGGGTCAGCAGCTGGTGGCTCAATTGGGCACTGGAGACCATGTTTGTTCTCTTTGGGTGGTACATTGAGGGTGTCTAACCTTAAGAAATGCAGGAAGGGGATGATGGATGGTCTGTTCAGATTCCCTTTGTCCCAACTGCATTTTTCAGCTGTCAAGAGATACTGTTAGCAGGCACTAGATTTAACAATGGGAGGCTAGATGGGAGGCTAACTACCTTTTGAAGTACACGCCTGGCAGATGACAACCAGCATCTTTACTTTTAAACCCAGCAACAGTGGGTTGCTAGGCATTGTTTTGCTGGTTTATTAAACTTGTTTCAGTAAAGAAGCAGCAAGTAACTGGCTGCATATTATACTAGACTAAGAAGCTTTTTACAGACAGCAATTGGTCTTAGTAAATGCTGTATCCTGCAGGTCTAGGACAGTACTAGAGGTGATAATATTAATTTATGATCAACAAGGTCTGATTTGAAATACAAAGTCACATGCACTGGTGAAACCTTGGGCAAACAGCTGCGAAGGAAACTTTCTGTGGTCAACTATAAACGTTCCAGCTATACAATATTATATTCCAAATTTGTTGTTTATTTTTTATCTAATTTCTATCCTTATGCCTAGAGCTTCCTTTTTCTTTACACCTGGTAAAATCCTGCCTATCCTTAGAAGCTTCATTTAAGATTCTTCTTGTGACCTCTCCCGGCATAATTACCCTTCACATTCATCCAACATGGTGACCCCGATCTGCTAGGTTCTAAGCCTCCAGTTGTTACCATATGCCATCCCATTTTACCTTTCTGTCTTTTATATCCCTCTGGTTCTTCTATCAGAATATAGAGAGAATTATCAAATAATCACATTGTATGACTCGCTCTCAAGCTTTTGAATTTGCTGAAGGACGAAATGGAACCTTTGTTATTTCGGTTACCCTTTCACCTAGAAGGTCCTTCCGTAACACCACAGTCAGAATTTTAAAACGAAGAGGAACTCCATACTCTTTTATTGGATTGAATTAAATTGAAGGAATAACTAATTTCTCTCGAGCTTCCTGATCTTAAAATCCTCTGAATAGGTAAGAAATAAAGCTGAGATGGTATCTTGTTATGCTGTACTGTTCTCCCCTATGTTAGGGGAAAGGGTGTCTATTATTTGTCTTTTGGGTTTTTCCTCACTGTACTTCTGGGGGTTGGGGGAGGTTGCTGCTAGCCATTTCCTCTAGTAAAAGTTCAAAATAGCCCTTCTATAAAAGCTACCCCATAGAACACCACTTTATAACCATTTGAAAAACCCTAAAGTTGACCTCCAGGAGAAACCACTTCATATGGCTTCCCCAAACCCTGTTTAACAAGTTTTAAAATATTTAGCTGGAATGTTACTTCAAGCTAAATATGCTACTGGTTTATTTTTTCATTCCATTTACCAGTTGTGACCTCATCTGTGCTTGCAATTGGCTGAAAGGAACCAATTTTATTCAGGGAAACTTTCGGATGTGAGCCGTGATGCCCACTGAGGATAAAGATAGGAAGGTGCGCACGGTGGGTGTGGAAGGAGGGAGAATCCTTTCTAGAAGATGGGGGAGTGGGCCCAGATTCAAGTGACTGAGTGACCTTTCTTTTTGCTAGCTGCTGTGTGAGGAAAAAAGGCTATTTCTTCCTGCAGAGAACTGCGAAATGAGGTATAAACTGAGTAGCGAGGTAGATGAGCCTACCACATTAGCTGATTAATAAGCAAACTGCTCAAATGCCCAGAGGGATAGAGAGTTCCTAGCAGAATTAATAATAAATCCAGACATTGGGTGAATTAAATTTAAGGTGTAAAGACTAAACCAGGGTCATATTAGCTAGGAAGTATGAGGTGCGGGATTTAGTAAAAAAAAAAAAAAACTTATTTGCACAGAGATGCTTAGTTAGCCTAGCTCTACAAAAACATCTATAAAACACAGCTTTTTAACTGTTTTCTTGCTGGTTTAATAATTAGCTTAATTTCTGTTCACAAAAAATTGTAGTTAAAAAAAAGCTTTCAATACCTACGAGAACTCTGTCTAATTGAGCCATGAGGGCAAATCCAAGAGGCCACCACACATACACTAGAGGTTGACAAAGTGCATGAGAAGAAGCAGGTCTCGTAAGTACTGATCTTGCAACCCCAAATCACTAAAGTACGAGTAACTGCTACAGGAGCAAATGAAATGATCTGTCAGAAATCTCTTTGAAAAGCAGAAAAGTGAGCACACAAATATATATGATCATTTCTGTTGTTTAACATAATCAAGAAATTGATGCTGCTAAAATAAGTTCAATTTAAAATTGTGGCCAGGCATAGTGGCTCACGTCCGTTATCCCAGCACTTCGTGAGGCCAAGGCGAGAGGATCTCTTGAGCTCAGGAGCTTGAGACCAGGCTGGGAAACACAGCAAGAACCTATCTCTACAAAAAATGAAAAACATTAGTCAGGCATAGTAGTGCATATCTGTAGTCCCAGCTACTGGGGAGGCTGAGGTGGGAGGATTTCTTGGGCCTGGGAGGTTGAGACTGCAGTGTGTGGTGATCATGCCACTTGTATTCCAGTCTGGTTCCTGTCTCTAACAATAACAACAACAACAATAACAACAATGTGGGACTGTGAATCTGCTTTTAAATATTGTACATAGGGTACCTAACAAAAAAAGGTGTTAAAATTATTTCTCAACACTTAGGATGAGAGAAGGGGAAGGCCAGCAGTAATATTTTATACTGGTTGGGAGAAGGGTAGATGGCAGTCAAATCTGAATACAAAGCAAAGGCTTTATTTTAAAAATGTATTTCCTTCTTTATCAGATTTCATATATATGTGACTATGTATACCACATAGCAACATGAGATGCAATGAGTTCATTTCTTTTCTCTTTTCATTCCAAATAAATGGGCAAGAGAACTGCACCCAAAAGGGCTGGGTCAAGTCCAATCTGATACATTGTACCAGTTCTTAAATGTGCATTCTTTCTACGTCTCAACTGTTGTTAGGTAAGTTCTTCACCAGTAACTAATGATAATTAAATATATAAATCTGTGAATAATGTACTTGTGCTTCTAAATGAAGTACAAAAGACTCAAGGTCAATCGTATAATAGCTTTTTCTGCACTCACTTGCTTTCTCCTGTTTATCTGCTTGAGTGGGTAAACTACAGTAGGACCTCTCCTCCATGGGCTGGTGTAGCTACAGCTGACAAAGGTTTGAGGACCACAGTTCTCATTCTCAGCAAATCACAAGTACACTTGTATGACTGCAGTTTGCAACCTTGTAATATTGATTTAGGCCCAAACAATATGCTTTCAGGATCCTTTAACAATTATTTTCCTTTTGAACAAAACATAGGAAGAATAATAAACTTAAAAGGCTATAATACCTCAAACTTTTGCTTCAAATGCAAGGTGGCTCTGGCTGAAGCAGAAAATATGTATTATTAACACTAGCAGTTGTTAATAGTGGTAATGATAATATGTTATCTCCACCACATGGCGATAATGGGTTTTTTATTATTAAAGTAAGATGCCACCTTTATTTATAGACATCGTTAAGTCAGAGAAAATGAAAATGCAAAATTACTACACAGTTCAAATTGCAGCAGCCCTTAAGACTCAGTGGGGAGAATGTACATGCATCATCTTATGGATTAAAAAGAATACACATTATCTAAGCCCAATGTTATGTCCACACATATGTGCCTCTAAGGTTGCAAGAATAGGAAAGCTAGTGAAAGTAAAGAAAATATTTTTTAGATGTGATTTTCTATTAAGAAAGATGGGCCCTAAATGTAATCTGTTTTGCTTTAATCAAGTACAGACAAGACAACATTATATGCTCACTCAATTATGACTGTTTTCCCCTTAAATAACTTCACTTAGGAACAAACACGAACATAGCTAAATGGAATTTCCACTAACCATTAAATGTAGTTAGATGTTCTTTTCTTCATATATTTTAGACTGAAGTTCTATTAATACTGTTTGTAATATAAGTATGTGAGGAATAGTGTCTCCCAAAAGCGGTCCTGAAATTGTATTTGCTATCCGAAGAGATGCATACGTTATAGCAGTAAATTTGGTACTTGGGAAACTATTTTATTTGGTTTGAGCAATTCTAAAAAAATTAAGGGCAAACATTAGTTTTGAGCATCACAGAAAGATATGAAATGAAGTCAAGTCTCAAAGTGCTTCAGGTAATTTTAAGAACCAAAGGCTCAAAAGTGAGAAAAATAACCTGCTTTTTTCTAAAGACAAGGCTACTGCTAATAATGAATGAGCAGGAAAACAAAATCTTGCTCTGCTTCAGTTCCTGCAGGAGAAAAAGTAAGTGGTCTGAAACTGAAGTAATTTAATGTTCCTGCTTTCCAGCCCTTTGCCAGACACCCATATCACAGTGACCCATAGTGGACCCCAAAGAGAGCCCACAAGGAGATGGGCTCAGTCATTATGGAAGGCATCACCATGCTAAATAATAGACTGGAGGAGGGAGGGTAAACCAACATCAAGAAGGCCAGAGGGCAAATCTTCATTGAATGGCATTTATAAAAATCCTGTAGCCAAACAAGACCAACGATTCAAAAATCTTCACTGGTTGAAGGATTCGGATTGGGAGGAACCAACTAGCAGCGATGTGCTAGTCAAGTCTGTTGCCTGGATTACTATAGGACTTTTACTAAGTTGTCACTATATCATCATCAATATTATTACTAGAAATTTACATGATACTTTTCATCAGCAAGTGTTAGGTAAAAATTTACCAGTATTTTTGTATAAACATCTCATTTAGTGCTTAAAAAAATTATAAGTGATGTATGACCACCACACAAATTTTCAATATTATATAATCTTGAATACAAATTATACATTTTTGTAGGTATTTAAATACAAATGCACACATTTCAACTTTTTTCTCACTAAACAATCAAATGTTTTTCAAATGTTACCTGTGTTTAAACACCTACATGTACTTTGTCCTTTTTCTTTGCTTTTTCTTTTCTTTTATTTATTGTTTTCCTTTTAAATATTGCCATTTTGTAAAATAATATATGATCAAGATAGGAAATAGAAAAACACAAAAAAGTAGATCAAATGACAGAGTCCTAACACTTAAACACATTGAGTATTATTAATTTTGTATATTTCCTTCTAGTATGTTTCTGGGAGTGGGGAGAAGTTTTATGCCAGGTGTGGTTAAAAAAAATACTGTGTGTAAACAGAGAGAGCAAGCAGCAGCCCCCAAGACTGAAGCTTCAGTCTTTTTTATAACCGAATTATTTCATTTCTATTCATTAGATGTGAGTCAGCAGGTAAAGCCCACATGCAAGGGGAGGTGATTACACAAGAGCCTGAACAACAAGAGATAAGGATCAATCACTAGGGGCCATTTTAAAGGCTGCCTGAAAATACAATCCTGTGTTAAACATCTTCTGGCATCAAAAATGCTGGTATTATTTTCTTAAGACAAAATACCAGACATGGACTACAAGGCTAAATGATACGATAGCTTTTTAACGTACCAGATAGAAACAGTCTTTGTGTGTCAGGATACATCCCACTTGGTAATACGGCTTATTCATTTAATAGTTGCTGACTCCTATTCAATAAATAAATTATTACAGATGTTCTCATCCATAATCATATTAATATCAGTCTTTAACTTTTTTGGCTGTAGAGAGGCTGGCTTTATTATAAGGGTAAATTTCTTCTATTTTTTTTTAAAAGAAGAGGCTTTTATGATATGTGGCAGTTTATAAAATATGGATTTAGGTGGGGAGAATTTCATGCATCAGAAAATTTGGTTGAACGTAAAGTTCTTAAGAGATGATAATGATTATGATAAAAAATTATAATCATCAGAATAATTTAATTACTACCATTACTGAGCCACTATGAAATATCACTTTCCCACTTTATGGAACAGAAAACTGAGGCTAATGTAGTGTGATGGTTTTAAGGATATGTCCATCTTTAATACTCCCTTCAAGAGATGGAACTCATTTGTTCCTTGGAGTATGGGTAGGCTTAGTGACTCACTTCTAGTGAAAAGAATACATATACGTGATGCACTGTCGCTTCTGCGATTAGTGATAAAAAGACTGTGGCTCAGTGCAATCAAATCAGAACTCAGGATTAAGAAACTCACTCAAAACCACGCAACTACGTGGAAACTGAACAACCTGTTCATAAATGACTACTGGGTAACTAATGAAATTAAGGCAGAAATAAATAAGTTCTTTGAAACCAATGAGAACAAAGACACAATGTACCAGAATCTTTGGGACACAGCTAAGGAAGTGTTTAGAGAGAAATTTATAGTACTAAATGCCTACAGGAGAAAGCAAGAAAGACCTAAAATCGACACCCTCACATCACAATTAAAAGAACTAGAGAAGCAAGAGCAAACAAATTCAAAAGGTAGCAGAAAACAAGAAATTACTAAGATCAGAGCAGAACTGAAGGAGATAAAGACATGAAAAACTCATCCTCCCACCCAAAAAAAATCAATGAATCCAAGAGCTGTTTTTTTTTAAAGATTAACAAAATAGACAGACCGCTGGCCAGACTAATAAAGAAGAGAGAAGAATCAAATAGACACAATGAAAAATGATAAAAGGGAGATCATCACTGATCCCACAGAAATACAAACTACCATCAGAGAATACTACAAACACCTCTACACAGATAAACTAGAAAATCTAGAAGAAATGGATAAATTCCTGGACACATACACCCTCCCAAGACTAAAGCAGGAAGAAGTCGAATCCCTGAATAGACCAATAACAAGCTCTGAAATTGAGGCAGTAATTAATAGCCTATCAACCAAAAAACATCAAGGATCAGACGGATTCACGGCCATATTCTACCAGAGGTACAAAGAGGAGCTGGTACCATTCCTTCTGAAACTATTGCAAACAATAGAAAAAGAGGGACTCCTCCCTAACTCGTTTTATAAGGACTGCATCATCCTGATACCAAAACCTGGAAGAGACACAATAAAAAAAGGAAATTTCAGACCAATATCCATGATGAACATCAATCCAAATATCCTCAATAAAATTCTGGCAAACCAAATCCAGTAGCACATCAAAAAGCTTTTCTACCACGATCAAGTAGGATTCAACCCTGGGATGCAAGGCTGGTTCAACATACACAAATCAATTAACGTAATCCATCACATAAACAGAACCAATGACAAAAACCACATGATTATCTCAATAGATGCAGAAAAGACCTTTGATAAAATTCAACACCTCTTCATGCTAAAAACTCTGAATAAACTTGGTAGTGATGGAACATATCGCAAAATAATAAGAGCTATTTATGACAATCCCACAGACAATATCACACTGAATGGGCAAAAGCTGGAAGTATTTCCTTTGAAAATTGGCACAAGACAAGGATGCCCTCTCTCACCACTCCTATTCAACATAGTATTGGAAGTTCCGGCCAGGGCAATCAGGCAAGAGAAATAAAGGGTATTCAAATAGGAAAAGAGGAAGTCAAATTGTCTCTGTTTGCATATGACATGATTGTATATTTAGAAAACCCCATTGTCTCAGCCCCAAATTTTCTTAAGCTAATAGGCAACTTCAGCAAAGTCTGAGGATACAAAATCAGTGTGTAAAAATCATAAGCATTCCTATACACCAATAACAAACAGAGAGCCAAATCATGAGTGAACTCCCATTCACAATTGCTACTAAGGGAATAAAATACCTAGGAATACAACTTAAAAGGGATGTGAAGGACCTCTTCAAGGAGAGTTACAAACCACTCTTCAAGGAAATAAGAGGGGACACAAACAAATGGAAAAACATTCCATGCTCATGAATAGGAAGAATCAATATCGTCAAAATGGCCATACTGCCAAAAGGAATTTACAGATTCAATGCTATCCCCATCAAGCTACCACTGACTTTCTTCACAGAATTAGAAAAATCTACTTTAAATTTCATGTGGAACCCAGGAACAGCCCATACAGCCAAGACAATCCTAAGCAAAAAGAACAAAGCTGGAGGCATCATACTACCTGAATTCAAGCTATGCTACAAGGCTACAGTAACGAAAACAGCATGGTATTAGTACCAAAACAGATATATAGACCGATGGAATAGAACAAAGCCCTCAGAAATAACGCCACACATCAACAGCCATCTGATCTTTGACAAACCTGACAAAAACAAGCAATGGGGAAAAGATTCCCTATTTAATAAATGGTGTTTGGAAAACTGGCTAGCCATATGCAGAAAACTGAAGCTGGACTCCTTCCTTACACTTTATGCAAAAACTAACTCAAGATGAATTAAAGTCTTAAATGTAAGACCTAAAACCATAAAAACCTTAGAAGAAAACCTAGGCAATACCATTCATGACATAGGCACGGGCAAAGACTTCCTGACTAAAACACCAAAAGCAATGGCAACAAAAGCCAAAATTGACAAATGGGATCTAATCAAACTAAAGAGCTTTCTGCACAGAAAAAGAAATTATCACAAGAGTGAACAGGCAACCTACAGAATGGGAGAAAATTTTTGCAATCTACCCATATGACAAAGGGCTAATATCCAGAATCTACAAAGAACTTAAATTTACAGGAAAAAAACAAACAACCCCATCAAAAAGTGGGTGAAGGATATGAACAGACACTTCTCAAAAGAAGACATTTATGCAGCAACAAACATATGAAAAAAAGCTCATCACCACCAGTCATTAGAGAAATGCAAATCAAAACCACAGTGAAATACCATCTAATGCCATTCAGAATGGCGATCATTAAAAAGTCAGGAAACAACAGATACTGGAGAGGATGTGGAGAAACAGGAATGCTTTTACACTGTTGGTAGGAGTGTAAATTAGTTCAACCATTGTGGAAGACAGTGTGGTAATTCCTCAAGGATCTAGAACTAGAAATACCATTTGACCAAGCAATCCCATTACTGGGTATATAGACAAAGGATTACAAATCATTTTACTATAAAGACACATGCACACTTATGTTTACTGCAGCACTGTTTACAATAGCAAAGACTTGGAACCAATCCAAATGCCCATCAATGATAGACTGGATAAAGAAAATGTGGCACACATACACCATGGAATACTATGCAGCCATAAAAAGGATGAGTTCATGTCCTCTGCAGGACATGGATGAAGCTGGAAACCATCATTCTCAGCAAACTAACACAGGAACAGAAAACTAAACACTGCATGTTCTCACTCATAAGTAGGAGTTGAACAATGAGAACACATGGACACAGGGAGGGGAACATCACACACTGGGGCCTGTCAGGGGCTGGGGGGCTAGGGGAGGGATAGCATTAGGACAAATACCTAATGTAGATGACAGGTTGATGGGTGCAGCAAACCACCATGGCATGTGTATAACTATGTAACAAACGTGCACATTCTGCACATGTATCTCAGAACTTAAAAAAAAAAAAAAGACTGTGGCTTCAGTGTTGTGTTGAGTCTCCTGTCTTGTCATGTGTAGCCCTATGGAGACTCATGGGAAGGAATTGAAGCCTCCTGCAAATATGTCTGCGTGTGAGCTTGAAAACATACTCCAAATACTTCTGAGACTGCATCCCTAACCAACAGTTTGTAACCTCATGGGAGACCCCTGGCCAGAACAACCCAGCTAAGCTGCTCCTGTATTTCCAACCCTCAAAAACTGGGAGTGATAATAGATGTTGTTCTAAGTTGCTCAACTTTAGGATCTTTTGTTACAAAGTAATACAGATAACTAACATATACAGTAATCTACCCAAGATGACATTGCTAGAAGTGGCAGAGTTCAAGCCACTTCCAACATACTTGCTGTTAGGAAAGAAGGAGAGGGCATGAAAGGAACCAAGAAAAATAACTCAGAATATTTCCCCACTGCTGTTAATGAAAAGAGAAATAAAAGGGCAAACATACTGGCTTCCCATCTGCTCCTCCTCCCAAATCTTACAGAAAACACTTTGCCATCTTTCTTTCCCATCAGTATCTTGTTCTGAAATATATAAAATACCTGTCAAGCAAAAGCCTTTTTAAAAAGGGTTGATTTCATCAATCTGGCTGTCTACTTTCTTTCTTTTTTTTTTTTTTTTGAGACGAAGTCTCGCTCTGTCGCCCAGGCTGGAGTGCAGTGGCGGGATCTCAGCTCACTGCAAGCTCCACCTCCCGGGTTCACGCCATTCTCCTGCCTCAGCCTCCCAAGTAGCTGGGACTACAGGCGCCCGCCACTACGCCCGGCTAATTTTTTGTATTTTTAGTAGAGACGGGGTTTCACCGTTTTAGCCGGGATGGTCTCGATCTCCTGACCTCGTGATCCGCCCGCCTCGGCCTCCCAAAGTGCTGGGATTACAGGCGTGAGCCACCGCGCCCGGCCAGGCTGTCTACTTTCAAATCACAACTGAAATCCCCAGAACAGTGGTTCTCAAACTATGGTACCTGGAACAGCGGCATCAGTATTGGCCTGAAGCTAGTGACAACTGCACATTTTGCGTCCCCACCCCGGGCTACTAAATTGGAATCTCTAAAGGTGGGGCTGAAGAATCTGTGTTCTAAAGGGCTTTCCAGGGGATTCTTATGCACACTGCTCTAGATTTAAGACTCCTGTGAAAATGACAGTGGCTGTCCTAGAGCTTTGTTCCTACTGATGGC
Organism: Homo sapiens; assembly: GCF_000001405.40. NCBI lineage: Eukaryota > Metazoa > Chordata > Mammalia > Primates > Hominidae > Homo > Homo sapiens. The sequence goes on from NC_000003.12 coordinate 67,442,585, forward strand.
TGAAAGTGTTTTTCAGATATGACCAAAGACTTTGGGTGGCCTTCAGCCTAATCAAAATATTTAGAGATTTAATTACTAAATGCCAACCCATACAAATGTAAAGATTTTTCCTACAGAGACTTTGTGGTGAACTGAATGCATTTTTTAATCAACTGCTTGGCAAGCAGTATGAGTTTTCTTGTTTGTAAACATCTATACTAATGCTAAACATATTTATTCACAACTTGACAAGAAATATTGCCCTGTAATTAATCATTTCCCAGACTGAATTCAGACAAAATAAAAATGCACTCCTGAAATGTGCATCCCCTTCACAATTGTAAGAGTCACACACATAAATAATACAATCAGCTCTCCCTATCCATGGGTTCTACATCCATGGATTCAACTAATCACGGTATAAAAATATTCAGAAACGAAAAAAAGGACGGTTTTGCCTGTGCTTAACATGTACAGACTTTCTTTGGTCATACTCCATAAACAATACAGTATAACAACTACTTACATAGCAAGTACATTGTATGAGGTATTACAAGTAATCTGGAGATGACTTAAACTATAAAGGAGGATGTGTCTAGGTTATATGCATATATTGTATCATGTTATATCAGGGACTTGAGCATGTGCTGATTTTGGTATCTGCAAGGGAGTCTGGAACCAATTCCCCAAGGATATTGAGGAACTAATGAAATTAGATCTCGGACCGCCGGGAGGATGGAGTTCAGCGGGCAGCGGAGCTGTCTCAGTCTTTGCCGCCGCGCCGGCGAGCGCCCCTCGGGAGGCAGCGGCTGGAGGAGCGGACGGGCCCCGCGGGGCCCGAGGGCAAGGAGCAGCCGCCTGCCTTGGCCTCCCAAAGTGCCGAGATTGCAGCCTCTGCCCGGCCGCCACCCCGTCTGGGAAGTGAGGAGTGTCTGTGCCTGGCCGCCCATCGTCTGGGATGTGAGGAGCCCCTCTGCCTGGCTGCCCAGTCTGGAAAGTGAGGAGCGTCTCCGCCCGGCCGCCATCCCATCTAGGAAGTGAGGAGCGCCTCTTCCCAGCCGCCATCACATCTAGGAAGTGAGGAGCGTCTCTGCCTGGCCGCCCATCGTCTGAGATGTGGGGAGCGCCTCTGCCCCGCCGCCCCATCTGGGATGTGAGGAGCGCCTCTGCCCGGCCGAGACCCCGTCTGGGAGGTGAGGAGCATCTCTGCCCGGCCGCCCCGTCTGAGAAGTGAGGAGACCCTCTGCCTGGCAACCACTCCGTCTGAGAAGTGAGGAGCCCCTCCGCCCGGCAGCTGCCCCGTCTGAGAAGTGAGGAGCCTCTCCACCCGGCAGCCACCCCATCTGGGAAGTGAGGAGCGTCTCCGCCCGGCAGCCACCCCGTCCGGGAGGGAGGTGGGGGGGGGTCAGCCCCCCGCCCGGCCAGCCGCCCCATCCGGGAGGGAGGTGGGGGGGTCAGCCCCCCGCCTGGCCAGCCGCCCCGTCCGGGAGGGAGGTGGAGGGGTCAGCCCCCCGCCTGGCCAGCCGCGCCGTCCGGGAGGGAGGTGGGGGGGTCAGCCCCCCGCCTGGCCAGCCGTGCCGTCCGGGAGGGAGGTGGGGGAGTCAGCCCCCCGCCCGGCCAGCCGCCCCGTCCGGGAGGTGAGGGGCGCCTCTGCCCGGCCGCCCCTACTGGGAAGTGAGGAGCCCCTCAGCCCGGCCAGCCACCCCGTCCAGGAGGGAGATGGGGGGGTCAGCCCTCCCACCCGGCCAGCCGCCCCGTCTGGGAGGGAGGTGGGGGGGTTAGCCCCCCGCCTGGCCAGCCGCCCCGTCCGGGAGGGAGGTGGGGGGGTCAGCCCTCCGCCCGGCCAGCCGCCCCGTCTGGGAGGTGAGGGGCGCCTCTGCCCGGCCGCCCCTACTGGGAAGTGAGGAGCCCCTCTGCCCGGCCAGCCGCCCCGTCCGGGAGGGAGGTGGGGGGGTCAACCCCCCCGCCCGGCCAGCCGCCCCGTCCGGGAGGTGAGGGGCGCCTCTGCCCGGCCACCCCTACTGGGAAGTGAGGAGCCCCTCTGCCCGGCCAGCCGCCCTGTCCGGGAGGGAGGTGGGGGTGTCAGTCCCCCGCCCGGCCAGCCGCCCCGTCTGGGAGGGAGGTGGGGGGGGTCAGCCCCCCTGCCCGGCCAGCCGCCCCGTCTGGGAGGTGAGGGGCGCCTCTGCCCAGCCGCCCCTACTGGGAAGTGAGGAGCCCCTCTGCCCGGCCAGCCGCCCCGTCCGGGAGGGAGGTGGGGGTGTCAGTCCCCCGCCCGGCCAGCCGCCCCGTCCGGGAGGGAGGTGGGGGGGGTCAGCCCCCCTGCCCGGCCAGCCGCCCCGTCTGGGAGGTGAGGGGCACCTCTGCCCAGCCGCCCCTACTGGGAAGTGAGGAGCCCCTCTGCCCGGCCAGCCGCCCCGTCTGGGAGGGAGGTTGGGGGGTCAGCCCCCCGCCCGGCCAGCCGCCCCGTCCGGGAGGTGAGGGGCGCCTCTGCCCGGCCCCCCCTACTGGGAAGTGAGGAGCCCCTCTGCCCGGCCACCACCCCGTCTGGGAGGTGAGCCCAACCGCTCATTGAGAACGGGCCAGGATGACAATGGCGGCTTTGTGGAATAGAAAGGCGGGAAAGGTGGGGAAAAGATTGAGAAATCGGATGGTTGCCGTGTCTGTGTAGAAAGAAGTAGACATGGGAGACTTTTCATTTTGTTCTGCACTAAGAAAAATTCCTCTGCCTTGGGATCCTGTTGATCTGTGACCTTACCCCCAACCCTGTGCTCTCTGAAACATGTGCTGTGTCCACTCAGGGTTAAATGGATTAAGGGCGGTGCAAGATGTGCTTTGTTAAACAGATGCTTGAAGGCAGCATGCTCGTTAAGAGTCATCACCAATCCCTAATCTCAAGTAATCAGGGACACAAACACTGCGGAAGGCCGCAGGGTCCTCTGCCTAGGAAAACCAGAGACCTTTGTTCACTTGTTTATCTGCTGACCTTCCCTCCACTATTGTCCCATGACCCTGCCAAATCCCCCTCTGTGAGAAACACCCAAGAATTATCAATAAAAAAATAAATTAAAAAAAAAAAAAAAAAGAAAATGAAAGCTGCAATAGAAACTCATAAATGAAAAAATTATCTCCTGACCATTTTTGAGAGAATGAGAGACATATTCTGCTCAGTGTAAAAGTGGTTATTAAAGTTATTTTGAAAAATTTCATTTAAAAAAAAAAAAAATGTCATAGAAGGAGGAACTGGTTATTCTCAACTGCAGCGACAAGTTCTGTGCTAATGAGTAACTTTCTTCAAAATGGGGTGATTTCTTAGTATAGCAGACTACACAGACATAATCAGATGTGACCTATCCCTTCAGCCATAGTTCATCCTTGTTAAGAATATGTTTATTCAACCTTGAGGAGGTTGGGATGATGCCTAAGAGAAGAACCAACTTAGGCTTCTAGACGGACCTATCGGGAGACCTGTTCCAAGTACCAATAATGTCTCTTCTTCAAAGATGTGGGCATTGGTGACCCACTATTAGAGATTTTATACAAGTTTTGGGGCTATCAGGGACCTTAGAGATCGTCTAGTCTGGATTCAAACATTAATCCAGGTATCCCATCCTCAAAGATTGCCAGGGAGCTGCATAAGCTTCCCAGGTGATGTCAATGCGCAGCTGGATTTGGAAGTGAATGCCTAAGTAAAAAGGATAATTTAGGCAATCACTTCAAGGTTCATCCTTGGAAAGTGGATTGTTTCTACTTTTTGGCTGTTATGAATAATGCTGCTATAAACATTTGTATATAAAAAAAAAAAAAAAAAAAAAGAAATTAGATCTCTCCGGTATCTAAATATGTACATATGTACATTTTTTTTTTTTTTTTTTTTTTTTTTTTTTTGAGATAGAGTCTCGCTCTGTCACTCAGGCTGGAATGCAGTTGTATGATCTCCGCTAACTGCAACCTCCACCTCCCGGGTTCAGGGATTCTCCTGCCTCACCCTCCCGAGTAGCTGGGACTACAGGCGCCTGCCACCACGCCTGGCTAATTTCTTTTTTTTTTTTTAGTAGAGATGGGATTTCACCATATTGGCCAGGCTGGTCTTGAACTCCTGACGTTGTGATGTGCCCGCCTCGGCCTCCCAAAGTGCCTGGATTACAGGCGTAAGCTATTGCACCCAGCCATGTGCAGGTCTTTTTAGGCAAAACAATGCCAGGCACTCAAAGAATGTTGGTCATTAAAAGGGTATTTCACTTTTAGAAAAATATATAACTACACACTTTATTCACTATAATCACTATTCACTTTATTTTAAATTGTGACATATTAAAAAAAGATTATCTATTAATTGCATACTTCCATTAATGTAATCCTTAATAAGATGCAAATTTTTAAATAATCCTTTATGTTTGAGGAAGAAAATGGTTAAAAATCAAAAAAGGTTAACATTAGTTTTTTGAAACAGGTTAAAATCATCACTAGTAATTAGCTGATGAAAATTCATTGTTCTCTGGTTCACTAGTTTTATTTAAGTGTGTTGTCAAAATGCAGATGTTAACAGGAATCACCTACTGAAAAACATGCTAAAATTCAAGGTCAATAAAACTGAGTTAATTTTAAAAAATCATTTTACCTACTAACATCTAGGATTTCTACCTCATTTCTCAACTGTAATAATACTAGAAGTACCATAAAATACTATAATTAAATACAAAATTGACTATAAAGTTGAACCCCAACAATGAGAGGGAATGTCTTAACAAGTCATTACCAAAAAGTGACTGTTTAAATATAGAAAATATGATTTTATAAGTGTAGGAATGAGTTTTTTTCCTACCATCTTTTCAATATTCATTGAGCAGTTATTACATGGCAGGCATTGGGATAGATGCAGGTAGCTACAAAAATCAGTACAACTCTGATTTGATTATGCCCACAATCTGGGGGTACAGAAATGGAAAAATGTGTGTCATGGAGGGCAGGAGAAATGCAGAATACAATACACTGAATGGATACAGAAAACAGGAACAAGATACTTCAGGAGGAAGCTTTGACTCCCACAACAGAAGTATTGGGTAATTAATGAACTATATTCCAAATCAACATATTTGCCAATGGAAAAGAAAGTTCATAAAAACTTGAAAAAATTTGTCCCATTTTATTTATTTATTGAGACAATTATTAATGCATTTATTTATTGAGACGGAGTCTTGCTCTGTAGCCCAGGATGGAGTGCAGTGGTGCAATCTCAGCTCACTGCAACCTCTGCTCCCGGGTTCAAGTGATTCTCATGTCTCAGCCTCCTGAGTAGCTGGGATTATAGACATGTGCCACCATGGCCGGCTAATTTTTGTATTTTTAGTAGAGACAGGGTTTTGCCATGTTGGCCAGGCTGGTCTCAAACTCCTGACCTCAGGTGATCCGCCTGCCTAGGCCTCCCAAAGTGCTGGGATTACAAGCATGACCCACCGCACCCGGCTGAGAAAATCTGTTTCAAAAAGTAGATAACAATTAAAATATTAATATGTTGCTTTAGCCGTTTTACTTCTAACAATTTATCAGAAATACAAAAGTTCATAAGGATATATAGATGATATTCACTGGATGAAAAAAATCCCCAAAAAACTATGAATAACTTAATAGCCATCAAGATGGGACTTGGTAATACATTATCATTCATTTTATGGAATGCAGTCATAAAAATGAATGAAATAGTTTCATTTGTATTAACATAAAAATCTAAGACCTATTAGGTAAAAATGTAAGTCACAGAATACATATATGATGGGTCCATTTATTTAAAGAACAAATTAGGAGACATGTAAACATATCAGAAGGGGAACAGAGAAGAGTCACACTTAAATTCTGACTCTGTAGCCCAGGCTGGAGTGCAATGGTGCAATCTCAGCTCACTGCAACCTCTGCTCCCGGGTTCAAGTGATTCTCATGCCTCAGCCTCCTGAGTAGCTGGGATTACAGACATGTGCCACCATACCCAGCTAATTTTTGTATTTTTAGTAGAGACAGGGTTTTGCCATGTTGGCCAGGCTGGTCTCAAATTCCCGACCTCAGGAGTACCTGAGATACCAGCTACTTTTTGTTTCAAAAAGTAGATAACAATTAAAATATTAATATGTTGCTTTAGCAGTTTTACTTCTAACAATTTATCAGAAATATGAAAGTTCATAAGGACATATAGCTGGTACTAGGAAACAATACACTTTTACAATGTTTAAACTGCATGAAAAAACACTATTTCTGAATCAAGTGTAAAAAAGGTTTTTTTTTCTTTTCTTTTAGTGGGTAAAGTCTAGTTATTCTGACTGCTTATCATTATTACTGTTGATTCTGGTAGTGAAAAAAAACTTTTGAATTCCATTGAGATAGTAATGAACACAGAATTGTAACAATAGACAGATGGAAGTAATATAAAAACACTGTTGAATTTGAATATTTCTTGCTTTTTTGCTTTCACAGAAACACATTATTTTACATTTACTTTATATAAGTGAGGTATTTTATGGTGTTTTCTAAATTCTATTAAGAACATTCTAAAAAGAAAAGGTGACTGTGACAGACAGATTAAAATCCAATCCACAGGCAGTCCCCTTTGGCAAACCACTCTGATTAAGTGGCTCTATTTTATTTCAAGAATATATATCTCTTGCCCCTTTAGGAAATATGTGAATGTTTTCCAAAAGCAAGTAAAGAGTGCCACATCTTAAGCACTAGAAAGCCTATGAGCTTTATCTGGGATCTTTGCTTTCATAGGCTTGTGAAGAAAATCTGAACATGCAGACAGGCAGTCACTGTCACATATTGAAGTTTAACAGTGACTAGAGGAACTATAAAAGCCCAAAACTCTATATTCATTCTGCAGTCATACAAAGAGCAGAGGGTGAATAATTTAACTTCCAAAACAATTAGTCCAGTCCTTTACTTCAAATTCTTCAATAATCCTCCTTTTCCTATAGCAGTCATCAGACATGTACATAATACCTCTGCCTTTTTTTTTTTTACCACAACAGTGCACACTATCTGTTTGCTATTTGCTGAATATTTTATTTTTATTTTATTTTATTTTTGAGTCATAGTCTCACTCTGTTGCCCAGGCTGGGGTGCAGTGGCGTGACCTCGCTCACTGGAGCTTCTACCTCCCAGGTTCAAGCAATCCTCACGCTCAGCCCCCTGAGTAGCTGGGACTACAGGTGTGTGCCACCATGCCCAGCTAATTTGTGTATTTTTAGTAGAGATGTGGTTTTGCCATGTTGGCCAGGCTGATCTTGAACTCCTGGCCTCAAGTGATCCACCTGCATGGCCTCCAAAAGTGATGGGATTACAGGCATGAGACACTGCACTCGGCCATGCTGAATATTTTAAAGCTTAAATACATTATTTGAAAAGAGAACAGTATCACTATCAATACGAAAAATAACATATTAATTCCTATAAATTGAAGATAATAAAATACAAAAAAACAGTATTTTTTTTAAAATTAACTAATTAATTTAGAGACAGGGTCTTGCTCTGTTGCCCAGGCTGAAGTGCAGTGGCATAATCATAGCTTACTGCAGCCTTGAACTCCTGGGCTCAAGCAATCCTCTCGCCTTATCTTCCCCAGTAGCTAGGACAACAGACACGTGCCACCACACCTGGCTAACTTTTAAATATTTTTTTGAGATGAGGTTTTGCTATGATTCCCAGGCTGATCTCGAACACCTGGGCTGAAGCGATCCTGTCACCTCAGCCTCCTGAGTGGCTGAAATTACAGGCTCAAGCTACCAAACCTGGGAAAATGTACAATAGTTTTATTAAATTGTAACTAGATACAGGCTGCCAGTGGCTCTGAGCCAAAGCAAAGTGTTTAAGCCATATTGGCACCAAGAGACTTTCTTGAGATTTTCTGGAATTGAAAAAGAACTAAAGAGGGAATACACTTTCTCAATTTTCCCCAATACTGTATTGTGAAAATTTTCAAGTATACAGAGAAGTTGAAAAAAATTGAACAGTGAACACCTATATGCCCATCATCTAGATACTATCATCTGGCATTTGCTGTATTTCCTTTTTCAGACATCATCTTTCTATCCATTCCTCTATGGAGAAATCAAGGCTATTTAATTTAATATTGTTATTTAACTACCTAGAGGGAGTTCTCTCAAGAATCACCAGGTCCCAATCCACAATTTTGGAAAGACTATTGTAAAAGATAACAACATCATTTCCCAGGCCTTGGCCCATCCCAGAAGGCTTGCTACTGTATCTGGCCCATGGCTATCTTTCTTCCTTATCTCTAGTCCCTAACACATAAGTGCAAAACTAAACTAACTCTGCTTGCCATAAAATGCCATTCACAACCTGGCCCTAATTCACTTCTTTGGCCTCATGGTATGTCCATCAGGTAGCGTTTATTGAGCGCTTACTCTGTGCTAGGCCTTGTCCTAGGAATTTCACTTGCTTATCTCATAAAACCCTTAAAACAGTTCTATGAGGAAGGTCTTCCTTCCTATTATTCCCAATTTATAGGTGACCAAGTGATAGCAGTGTCTTATAACTGAACAACTCAACACACTGTCCAATTTTTGCAGTGGCCTCCACTCAGCCCATGTACATTTCTTCTAACACCTTTCACAATTCTAAATCTGTAGTTTTGGCTGCTTGAATACATTTCCTACACTTCCTTCATCCAAACTTTACTCATCTGTTTAGACCTAACTCAAATGCCACCTCCTCCATGAGACATGCTCAAGTATTTTAAGAATTAAATAAATGAATCGATATTTGCAAGGTCAAAATGTACATTTGATAAACTAACTGAAATATTAGGTCTTCGTTTTCGTAAGTAAGTCTTAAGACAACCAAAATGAGACTATTTCTCACGTACAGTTGTCAGAAAAGAGTGACAAAACAAAAATCAACCAGATGTTAAATAATCCTCAAGGGAGGTACACCACCATGTTTAGGCTAGGTACAGGCAAATTCACATTTTGTTGTCCTAGCAGTTATCTCTTTTCTGGTGTCTTGAGTTCTTCAGCTCAATCATCAATGGAAGGATATTCTACCACAATGACTATTTTCATAGATACAAATTTTCATCCCCTTTCTTATACTTTTTACTTCTGGTGGGGGTGGGGCGGCAATTATAGTTGGAGTTAATTTTAAAAGATGGTAAATATCTCAGAATGTCTGTAATATAATTACTTTTGAAATAAGGGATCACTGATTTATACAGCCTTAAAGTTTGAATGGACTTTAAAGATAATATAATCTATGATGTAGTGGTACAAGGGAAGAGGGGGGCTGGGGAAGAACCTGATGTGTAGTGTTTGCCAATTTCCATAGCCCAACCCCGTCAATGAAAGCATGAGTATTCTGAGGACCAGGATAACTGAAAGAGTTGTTGAAGGTAACAGAAAAATGTGTGAGCATCTGCATTAGAAGCCAGGTTAACTGACTCCATGTAATCTATTCATTGTCAACTCCCTAGAATCATCTAGGAATTGTGGAAAGATACTTTGCCAAGCCTCACACCAGAGTAATAAAAAAATAACTTCTGGTGATTAACTCCTCTCCAGAAATACAAATACAAATAAAAAACAAAAACTCTCTATGTGCTTCTAAAATATCTAAGTTCCAGAACTCCCATAATTCTTTTCCCCAATTTTATGTTGCCTAGTAAGAAAATCTCATCCCTTTATATTAACTTGGGGAATGAATAAAACATACATTAATAAAAAGCATAAGTTATCATAATATTTTTAAAGGTTGTAAGTTTCAAGTATTTTCCATGTGTGGCCATGAATTATGCCTATTGAAATATTTTCTAAAAATTTGGGCCTGCTTTTACAAAGACGAGACTGGTTTGTAATTAGTGCATTGATTTTATGTGAATGAGTGCTTTTGAGGTGCTTAATGAGCCAGTAATGATTAATACTTTTAACAGACTAAGAATACTTTTACTTCTATTAGTTTCTTTATTAAACCCTTTCTAATATGTAGAAAACAGGTAAGTTTCAGTTAGTAGCTCAAGTTACCACAAATTCCTTGTCAAATTTACTAAACAATCCACATCCAGTTTAGCTCTTCCTCCCTTCCCACTCTTCCTCCTTTCCGCCCTTCCCTCTCAAATATTTATTGAGCATCTAGCAAGTAGATTACTAAATCCAACCCAAGACACTCCCCTGCATCAGAGATAACATCTAATAAATTCCTCTAATTGTCATTCTGTGACTGAAATTGTATTCAGGACCGCATTTCTAAATTATAGTTCAATTAGTAGCTTTGTTTACAAGTCATGAATACCATTTTAATTTTGCAGATCTTGGTAACACATATAAGAATCTTCTAGCCATTGCACTGCCTTTTGAAACTGCATAATCTCGCACGTTTTAAAGGAGCCTCTGGTATTATTTTCTTTTCAATGTAATCATAGATGAAGGTCTAAAGTAGACCTTCCCATTCTCTTTCTGAACTCCTTTAAGTTCTTTAATTATAACCCTGAAATGCATCTCTTTTGCGTGCCCAACATCTTCAGCATATTTCTCTTCTTTACCCTGCAGCTGATTAGCAAGGACTACAACACTGAATATCAAATATTATGATTTTTGAGTTATATGAGCATTTTCCTTTTCACAGGAATAATATGAAGAAAATTACCTCAGTACATTCAGACTTCTTTTTTTTTTATGAGTATTTTCTTTTAATTCTTATTGATAGTCTAAAACAAAACACCATTAACTGGATAGTTTATAAACAACAGAAATTTATTTCTCACAGTTCTGGAGTCTGAAAGATCACAATCCAGGCACCAACAGATTTGATGTCTGGTGAGGGCCTGTTTCCTGGATTACAGGTGGTGCCACCTTCTTGCTGTGTCCTCACATGGCAGAAGGAATGAAGGAGCTCCCTTGGGCCTATTTCATAAGGACACTAATCACATTCATGAGAGCCCACCCTCATGAGCTAATCAACTGCTAAAGGCCCCACTTCCTAATATCATCACCTTGAGGGTTAGGATTTCAACTTACGAATGGTGGGGAGAGGGGCACAAACATTCAGAACACAACAAAATTATTTAGCATGAATATATATATGTATTGCCTTACTGGTTACCAGGCTACAAATCAGGAAGTAAGAAAACAATCTTCCAATGCAGTTATTTTCAAGTAGTGGGAAACTCTTGATATTCCTTAATAGAGGGGCCACATCAAGCCTTTGGCTCCCAAGAAGGCAATGCCTCTTGAAAACTACTGTGTTCACTGGTCACATGTGTATCAGTTACAAATGTGACCATCCAGTTGAAACATAATTCTAGCTGTGTATGCCAGAAATATATCTAGATATAACCAGAATGCCACGATGTACTTGGGCAAACCCCCAAGGTTGTCGTTGTCGTGCATTTTGTGTGTGTGTATGTGTGTGCAAATGGCTTAAATATTCCATTACTGCCTATTGTTCTTACATAAAACTTTTCAAGAAAATTAGAAGTTAATAGGCTGACTGATGACAGCCTTATATCAATATAAATTGCTTAAAATATTCTTAGGCCTAAGTGGATGTAAATTTTTATGTTCATTCCCAATGTTGGATAAGAAGTTGACAGAGCTGCACAAAAATTGCAAAAGAAACATTCTAAATCATGAGCTCTTTAAGTACAGGGACGAGGGACGACATCTTACCCATTTATATATCTCCAGGATTTGGAACAGTAGCTGGTATATAGAGTAATTGTTGAATAAATAATATGAAAAATTGGTTTGAGATCCAGGAACAGAGTAAAGGATAGGGTTGTGGTCGCACTGGTGGTTACAAGGCAATACTTTTTTACCTTTCAAACTAAGAAAAACATCAAATATATAAAAAAAAAATAGAAGGTGAAATAATTATACAGCCTACCCATGTATCCTCTACCTACCTTTAGTAGTATTTAACGATTTGCCATATTTGCTTTCTCCCTCTCTTCCTCTCTATATCTATCTCTATAGAGATATATGTAGCTATACATATATAGATAGATGGATAGTTGTTGAAGCATTTCATACTGAGTGGCCTACATCATGACACTTCACTCCCAAATGCATCTCCTAAAAATAGGAACATTGTCCTAATCACACTACAACATGTAAGAAAATGGGCCGGGCGTGGTGGCTCATGCCTGTAATCCCAACACTTTGGGAGGCCAAGGCGGGTGGATCACAAGGTCAGGAGATCGAGACCATCCTGGCTAACAAAGTGAAACCCCATCTCTACTAAAAATACAAAAAATTAGCCGGGCATGGTAGTGGGCACCTATAGTCGCAGCTACTTGAGAGACTGAGGCAGGAGAATGGCGTGAACCTGGGAGGTGGAGCTTGTAGTGAGCAGAGATGGCGCCACTGCACTCCAGCCTGGGCGACAGAGTGAGACTCCGTCTCAAAAAAAAAAAAAAAAAAAAGAAAATGAACAATTCCCCTATTGTCATCTAATATGCAGCCTGCAGTGAAATATTCCCAGTTATCCCAAGAATGTTTTATAGACACACATACCCAAAGCAGTATCCATTCAAAGTTCACACATTGCATGTAGTTCTTAGGGTCTATTTCACATATTCAGTGTTTTAGATTTACTTATTTCAAGTTTTCTATTTCTATATATATTTTAGTCCATTTGTCCCTGAATTGTAGCAAGTATTTTCAAATCCATAACTTGAAACTGAGCTTTGTGGATTAAGGCAAAAAGGACATTGTAGATGCCTCTGGCCCATCCTCCTCACACTTTGAGTAAGTGAGGGTCTTCTGGTCCATCCTCCTGCACATCAGGCGTTATTTCACTCTTGACATACACTTGTGATGTGGGGCATAAATCACCATAAGCATCTTTCATGTTTGCCTAACCAACTCAGTTTAAATCCCATGACTAAAAAGGGAGCCTACTTTCCAGAATCAGACTGGAGGAAAAGAGGAGATTTTAAATTTCTTCCTGCTCCTAAAAATGGAATGCTTGAAAGTGATATATACTGGCAATGTAAAATAGTTTTGATGGGGAGAGAATGCAGAAATTAACTTTCTAACTTAAACAATTTCAATTTTGTAATTCTCAATGTTAGCACAAACACTATAATCAAAATTCACTGTACTGTGCTCTAGGTACTGGGTGGAGGAAAAAAAAAACACTGATGGGACAAAGATCTTCTTAGGGAATATGGCAGAGAAAGTGAAAAAGCATGAGGAATAAAGATTTTCAAATATGGGTATCTGAAAGGGTAGGCCTTTCCATTTTGTTCTACTACCCAGTGTTTCAATCCCGGCAAGAACACCACAATATTCCAGGTCTTTACCTCCATCACCCTGCCCTAAGGATATGTGGGGTAAGGGGCACTGTTGTGCCCAAGGCTCTTCAAATTTAACGTATTATTACCACTGTTATTATATTTAATTCTACCACTGGAAGTAGTAAGACCTCAATCAGGGGTGATTCACTCCCATGATATTGATCAGTATAAGGCAGAGACTATTGGGATACCAAGTGTTAATTCTTCTTTCATTAGTGGCAGTATCTCAACAGAATGTCAATTTTATAATATTTTTCAGCATCCCTTTCAACCTGGAATCATGTGATTGCTGTCTGGGTAGTGAGGTGGGACTTCCGGGATTCAGCCTGGCCTTCCTCCTCCCTTGATACATGAATATCTTAAATTATACTGCATAGGACTCTCTTCCTTTATTACCAATCAAATAAAAAATTAATTGGGTCAAAAATATATGGCCCATTATATGCAAGGGCTATAACATAGGCAGGTCTTAGGGAATATCAGCAAAGCGAAAGGAAAAAATAGGTCCCTCTATGGAGAAAATCAATGCTCCTCAAATGTAACTGAAAAACATGTTTGTCTATTCAATCCCGGTATAAGCCCTCATTGGAAGATTTACTGGAACACACTGAATTGAATATAGATAGTAAAGGAAGATGTAGCTGATAATAGGAACAGAGTTGCCCTGTGATCCATGGTATGTGAGGGCATAGGGAAAAACACATTCAACTCAAACAAGGGTATGGTAATTTCAGGCTTCATTAGAAACACAGCGAGGTGAAATCAATTGTAAGCCAGACAGGAAAGAATCAAAATCAGTTAGAAAAGAAATTTTAATTTCAAGCTTCTAAGGAGAAACTATAAATAATGCAAGGTTTAAAACATATTAGCAAAAATACATCACGGTATCTCTCTCAAGCAAAACAGCTAAACTTGAAACTTTCTTGAGGATATTCAGCTCTGAATATTTAAAAGCAAATGCACATATTTGCCAGAGAGAAAAACATGTTTAGGGGGAAAATATTAAAATGAAGTCTGGGATGATACACACCAAAATATGAATGTGGACATAAACAACTCCAGGTTATTTTCCTTTTCTTCTTTATACCTTTATGTAGTTTTTGAAAATTTTAAATTATGAATGCATAATTTTTGTAATTAGACAGATAAAGAGCTTTAGCAAAAAGAAAAACATTCAAGTCATCATATAATAACATTGTATGAACATTAGACATGGAAGGCTCATCACAAGCAAACCCCAAATATCCTCCATAAGACAATCTAATGACTTGCTCTTAATGAAAGAATGGTCCTTCCTCTCTCCAATCTCCATTTTTGGGTGCTGCTAATGGTTAAGACCTGTGCCTCTGAGTTTGTAGACTCTAGTATGGTTCTCCAGATCTTCAGCATTAAATGTATCCGGAAACAGGTAAGCAATCAGTTCAAAAGAAAAGAACAGATTTTCAATTTCCTTCTCCTAAAAATGTCATGCTCTAAAGTGATACATGGAAATGTAAAACAATTTTGGTGGGAAACATGTGCAGAAATTAACTTTATAACTTGAATAATATCAATTTTATGATTCTCAATGTTACAATTATTAGAAGTACAGAATCTCTGTCCCTAACTCAGACCTGCTTGAATTGGGGAATTGGGGAACTTATTGGGGAATTACTGATTAAAGGAATTTATTCTACCCTCCTACTTACAGAAGATGCCCGAGGAAAACTGTGGATAGTGGTGTTATTTAAACTAAGAGATACAGAAATAAAATTATTTCATTTTTTAAAACTATATAAATTGTTTTCCATCTATATCTACTTATAACAACAAAAGAACAAAAGCAGCTTTTTTTTTTTTTTTTTTTTTTTTTTAGCTGTTTTTACTCCTAAAACAGCTACCACTACTATTACTACTATACTGCAAGAGAGCAATAACATTTATGGGACCTTTACCATGCATGAGACACAGTGGTACATGCTTGGGATAGTCCATTACAATGGTGTTCTATAATGAACCTTGTCAACGTTTATAAATGCCCTTGCATAGTCCCTTCCCTTTGGATCCTGGCTGAGTCTGTGACTTGCTTTAGTCCTGAAAATGTGGCAGCAGAGATGCTGAACCAGTTTCAGGCCAATGCCTTGAGAAGGCTTGGGAGTCTCTGCCTTTGCCCTCTCAGATGCTTAAGGGCCACATAGGGAGGCTGGTTACTTTGCTGAAGGGGCCCTTTGGAGATATCACATGGAGACAGAGGGGCCTTCAACAACTGGGGATGAGGGAAGAGGCCCGCCTTCCCAGAACCTGCCAGCTGAATGCAGTCACACGAATGAACACTGACAAGAACAGTGGAAGAATGGCCTACCTAACCCCAGGCCAGATTGCTAAATCATAAGAAAATGGTTCTATCAAGTTTTGGGGTGGTTTGCTATGCAGAAATAATAACCAAAACAGTGCTTTATAGACATTTGACTCATTTTAATCTCACAACAACCCTAAGAAATAGGCACTAATAATATCATCCTTCTACAGAAGCATTTATCCAATTTGAATAACGCCTCCTATAATAAGTCGAGGGGGTAGGGCTTTACTGCATGAGAACAATTCTGTATATTATCAAACACACAGCAGTTCCATTTCTCATCTGAGGGTGGGGCATTTCCTATTACTGACTGTGTCTCATCATCTCTAAAGTAAAGAGAGTCAATAACTCACTGAACGTCTAAGATTCTTTTCAGCTCTGAAATTCCATGACTCTAAATGAGTAGCCGGTGCTTATTGTTTATACAGTGGTTTTCAACACATCACATCACACACACTAGCAAAGGTCGGAGGGGAAAAAAGCACCTTGAGAACATCCCATCCCAACTGCCCAGGCCATCTGAGTAACAGGAACCACCCCACCAGTCAGGAAGAGACGGCTGAATGCATATTAAAACACTCCAAGTATGCTGCCCTTCTGGAATATCGTTAAACAACTCAGTCTGTCATATGGTCCTTTGAGTTTTTCAATTAAAAAAGAAATGGCAAATGTAAATATTACCATCTCTTTTTCAGTCTGCTAATTTGTGTTCAGGAAAGTCTTCCAACAAGAAAAACACATGGTTAATCACCTTTGAGACCCAATATAACAAAGTAGCCTGGAAAGAGAAAAGGGGCTTTTTTATGATTTAAATTGTTATGTGGTCAATCAAATCTAATCTATTCTAATTCATTCACATGGAAGGTCAATTATCCAAATGCTCTTAATTCAACCTGCCTCTGATCTTGGTGACCAGTGAACCATTCAAAGGGCAGCTGTTTTGTGTGTGTGTGTTTTAATATGAATTCGTTATCACAGTTTTACGTTTTCCTCATTCTCAACTATTTAAGCTAACGTGGCCTGCTTGACGAAGCACATTTAAGTAGAGGGAAACACACTTAGTTCTCTTTGTATTCTGAAATAACAACATTCTCTATGACCTTTCTGGAGTCAATGTACACAGAAAACCCACAAGATTCATGCTATCACCAACTGTTGGAAGGAAAACACCAGGCAGGCAGCAAATCTACTTCCCAGGCCAATTACCCCATTCCCTAAAACTATTCCATCTTCAAAACAAGCCTAAAATGCATGTCAAGAAAAACATCCATGTGTCTTTCTTTACTCTTTTTATGAAGGCTTTTGCTTGGTGATTTGCTCAAGGGTCAAGTTTAAATTTGGGTCAGTTTGTTTATTTGTGATATAATGAAAAAGAAATTTACCAGGGAAGAACAGAACTATTGGAAGTACTCCATGGTAAATGAGAGAAAGTATGCCAAAGCTCTTCGCACCAAGACTAAATAAATTAGTTGAGAATTGTATTTGGATGCTAGGAACAAAGAAATAAATATAAGGACTTAAACATACAAGGATTTATTCTCTTACATAAAGGAACACTGGTGGTAGATAGGCCTGGGATGGTAGGATGCTACCAGGAGTCCATCAGGAACTCAGATGCCTTTGGTTTGTCTCCTCTACCATGCAATGGTACCGTTCTAAGGTTATTTCTCAGTCTAAGAGGGCTGCTGGAGCCCCTGCCATTGTAAAGTCATTCCAAGCAACAGTGAGGAGCAGGGAAAAGGGCTCCCTTCCCAGCTGCTTCAGCTTCTTAAACACAGCCTTGCCAGAGGTCCCACATTACACTTTTGTTTACATATCACTGGCCAGAAAGCAGTGACGTGATTCCACCCAGCTGAAAGGGAGGTGGAACAATATCATAGAATTGACATTTTGTTGAGATTCTACTATTAAGGAAGAAAAAAAAATTGATATTGGATATCTCAGTAGGCCCTGCCTTATACCAATTAATTTCTTGGTAGTAAATCACTACTGATTGAAGTCTTATTATTTCCAGTAGTAGAAGTGTAGCTAAGAATAATAACAGTGGTAATAACACCTTAAATCTGAAAAACTTCTATGTAAAAGTTACAATCTGGTTCACACAATAATCACATGATAGTACAATAAAAGTGACAATAATAATGATAGCAGAAATTAACAGCAGTATCTGTCATTTATTAAACACCAAATTCTGTGCTGAGTGCTATAATACCTTATTCTCATCAATCTTCACATCAACTTTGTGAGGTTTTCATTAACTCCATTTTATGAAGACATGGACTTCAGAGATGGGAAGTGACTTTTCTAAGGTCATACACTTCAGGAGGGAAACAGAACTGCAATTCCATCAAAGCCCTCTTGATCACACTGGTGTTAATCATTCCCCTGATGAGGTCATTAATATCACATTTTACAGCTGAGGAAACTGAGGTCCAAATTATCGGAGTGCTTTAATTCACTGTAATATTGAATCAATGGTAGGACTTTTATTATAAAAATCCTAACAGGGCCAGAAAAGGACTTAGGAAATCTAGCTTCTCATCCTCGCTCTATACTTTAATACTGATTTTGATCTGATAGTAAAAACAATACAGGCCCACTGGGAAGGAAAAATTAAAACTATACAGTAAAGAAGAGAGTAAAAAATCATTCCCAACACTACCAGTTGGAGAAAATATAGGCAATGCAAACATTCTAGTGAGCATTCTCTGGGGTTTATCTGATAAGATATAAAGAAGGGGAGGGGAAGTGGAGAGACAGAGGTTCCATAATTTGTCTAACGTCTCTGCACTACAGAGCCAGCACTCAGGTTCACTGCCCAAGTGCCCAGTGTACTCTCTGACCCAAGACATTCATGAGTCGTACCTTTCCTGCTGAAAGACATTCCAATTACATGCAGGATTTAAAACTCTATGACAAGGGACTGCTCTTTCTTTTTATGAGTTTTTAAGAAAATGCCTTTTAAAATTTCTCTTCCAAGCTCTGAGATAAAGAAAACTGAAATACGACCATTAACAATTTACCCACAGCATGCATGAGTTTAACGCTCCAAACGATACTCAGGGTTCTCAACATTAACAGTGCATTGAAGCCAACTCATTTCTCATTTTCTGTTGCCAACTCCATAAATCTGCTTGAAGTCTTGAAAGTATAGATTATATATTTAAGTGATTCTTGTATTCTGGCAAGTAAAAACATAAAATGTAATTCGAATTCCATATAACGGTATTGGAAGAAGCACAAAGATGGCATTCTGAGGGGGAAGGGGTTTGTGCATTTAATATTTTCGGAATCATATATTATGTATCAGGTACTGGGAAAACAGAGATCAATCAGAAAAGGAGGACCTTCCATCTAGTACTAGTACTAGTACTAGAATTTTCATCTAGTATCTAGGGGTCCCCAACCTGGAAACTAGTGTCATTTTAGGCTGGAAAATGCCTTGTTATGGTGAGCTGTTTGTGTGCTGTTGAACAGCATCCCTGACCTCTTCCTGCCAGATGCTAGTAGCATACCCACTCCAAAATGACAATAATAAATGTCTCTAGACATTGCCAAATGTCCCCTGGGAGGTAGCATGGCCCCCAGCTGAGAACAGCTGATCTGGTCCATCCCGCCCCAGTTCACAGAACCTGGGAAGATTTCCAAGGAGAAAGGGATAACAGGCAGGCAAAGTGAGGAGGGAGAGGAAGAACATTCTGGGAGAAGGGTCTCTGGAACAGATGGTAGAGATCATGCCAGCAAGGGGAGGTAAGGTCATGCGGGGCCGGATGATACAAGCTTCTGAATCTCTGACTCAGAAATTCAGAATTTAGTTTGCAGGAAATGGGGATTGTGGTATTATTTTACATATATATATGTATGTTTTTGTCCACAGTTCCTAGCTCATAACTCCCACAGCTCCTGTTACAGCCTTTTGTTATAATGTTGGGGCACTTTAGGTCTCAGAAGCAAACCTCAAAAAACAATCTCTCTCTCTCTCTCTCTGAAATTCTCCTGCCTTCCTTTCACCTGCTCCTTTTTCTTCCCACAGCAGGCTTTAGAAACTAAAAATATACTCTAATCTCCCCCCACTTTTCTGATTATGGGTCATTAGACCCTCATTTCCGAAGGGGTCCTGTGTCATACCTCAGAAGAAGGAATGCTGCACAGAGAGGCCAAGAAGCATCTGTATAGACAGGCCTTTCTGGGTGTTCCCACTCAGTCTACTAGCATTAGATCATACCCTTTTTGTCTAGTCACATTTCAAAATGGCTGTCAATCATGCCCATCCAATGGACTCTCCATAAAAGGTCCAAGAGGATGGCGTTCAGGAGCTTCTGGACGGCTGAATGCATGGAGGTTTCTGTAGGGCGGCATGCCCAGGAACGGGCTAGAGGCTCTGAGCCCCTTCCCATACCACACCCTATTCATTTCTTTATCTGTATCTTCTGTAACATCCTTTATAATAAACCAGTAAGCATAAGTTAGTATTTACCTGAGTTTTGTGTGCCACCCCAGCAAATGAATTGAACCCAAGGAAGAGGTCATGGGAAACCCAATTTATAGCCGGTTGGTGAGAAACACAGGTAAAACAACCTGGAGCTTGCAATCAGCATCGGAAGTGAGGCGTGGTTTTGTGGGACTGAGCCCTCAACCTGTGGGATCTGAGATTATCTCCAGGTGGAGTGTCAGAACTGAATTTAGATAGAGGATGCCCAGCTAGTGTCTGCTGCAGAATTGATTGCTTGCTTACTGGTGGGGAAAACCCCCCACACATTTGATCACAGAAGTCTTCTGTGTTGACTATTGTGGTGTGAAAATAGAGAAAATACAGTTTGTGTTCTTCCATTCAGGGATCAAGTTTGTGGGCAGAAACTGCAGTAAAATGCACAAAAAGCAAGTCCTATGAGTTGAGTGTGACCGTGTGCTGCTGCCATTTGATTGCTTTAATTAAAGAAAAATAGGGGATGAAGTAATTACAGGCCCTCTCTGAGACTGTCTTCTTAACAAGGTGGCTGAATGTCATTGAAAATTTTCTGGATTTTAAAACAGAAATACACTGACACAGAGAAAATATTCTGCACATTGCCTGACACACAGAGTACCCTCACCAATGTTAATTCCTTATTATTACCATTCTTGTTGCTGGCTGTCTTAAAGCAGGGTGGGGCACTGATGGCTGATGTCAGCATTTCTCAGTATGGCCCAAGGAACCCTGGTGCCTTGGAAGTGTTAATAATATCTGTACATACATACAGATGTGCAGACACAGAGAATCATTTTCTTTCAGAAATTTATCTTTTAAAAAGGAAACTATGACAAAGGATGTAGAATAACAGAAACATTTATCTTTATATATTTTGTTATAAATGCTTACCTAATTTATACTTTCTTAATAAATAAGGAGAAGAGTATCTAAATAAAATGTTTTCTTGAATTAATTTGTTTATGGGGCCATGCTTTTCCTGTTCTCTCTCAAGAGTTCCTGTTGGTACCCCACTTATATTTAATTTAGATACTGTTAGCCTGGAAAATATTGCCCTAATCCAGTTGACTGGGGTTGTATGGAAAAGGCCCTGGCTTTGGTAACCAGAGATTATGCCAGGGCCGGGGGCCGTCTTGAAATAAAGAGAAAGAAAGTGTCATCCTGTGAAAAGGTCAAGGAGGAAGCCATCTCAACAGCTGTTTGCAAACCTCACTTCAAGGCAACCAACTGACAGAGGGAGAAATAATCTCAAGGAGGTATGAAAACAGCAGCAGGGCTAGGGAAACACATCTGTGAATGCCCAGATAATTGAGCATCATTGTTTAGGAGTTGGAGGGCCATCTCTTTCTGTGCATTTGAAGCAATTTTCTCTTGTGACATACTATGTTTTGTGTTCCCGAACATTTAACCTCTGGATTTGGACAGCAGAGACCTGGCCCAAGCCCATTCCTTTTAGGAGTCCTCAAATGGTTACTGAAAGTGACGGTTTTCTAATTATTCTGTCAAGCATCAATCTCAGAAGTTCCCAGTTCCTCCATGCTCTGACTGACAGGGCAATCAGCACTTTACTTAAAGTATAAGCACCAACCTCTTCTGGACAGCAAGAGCACCTCACATGCCCAAAAACAGAAAAATTCACAGCTCTAAGAAAGTAAGAAGCCCTCATGGGTGTGCAATTTTACAAGCGTGTGTATGCATCCTTCCTGGGAATAGCGCTTTTTGATCTGGCATTTCTTTCAAATGGGACATCCCCAATTCCAAATTTCAACCATCATGGCTATGATTTTACATACTCACTGTGCTGCTGAAAACTCAATCAAAATGCACAGCAAAAAGCCAGTCTCAAAGATCTCCCTCAATCAAGGCAGACCAGAGTGGTCAGAAAAGAAGCAGATGTCTACACTCCTTCAACTCCAAGTCAAAACTTATAATTCCACTTTCTTACATGCTACTCTTCTGAGAGAAAAATGTGGGCAAAAGGAAGCATAGGAACTGTCACAACGAGAAAATATTCTTATTAATCACATTTAGGCAAATTCCATTTATTTGTTTTTCTCTAAAAGTGACCTCCATATATTAACAGATGCCCTACTTTACTTTGTCTTTTAGAAATCAGTTGCTTGTAATCTCTGAGACAATATATAGAAGTAGAAATGAGATTGGTGGATCAGTCTTCAACTGGTTTGAAGGTGATGGTAAAAGTCTATGAAAGCTGCCAGCATGGTGCTAAAACTCAAAGAGGGCATGGCATAGTGACATGGGTTATATGATGAGTGAGAGCTGCCAGGACGAATCGGAAGAGGGGCTTGACAATCGATTGCCTGAAATACATTACAGGGCAAAAGAAAGCAGGGCACCTGTGGTTATGTCCCTGATATAAGAAGATAGCCACTGTATCTTCAAGATCCCAGAGGCATGGAGAAAAAGTAGGTAATTCAAATGGAGGCAATTTGGAGACACCTAGACTAATACCATTAGTCTCCAACTAGTCTCTGTTTTCTCTTCCTTTTCCACAATGCGTACTCCTATCTTTGTCTAAGATTTCATTGTTCTGGTGCTTAAAGCCTTTCAGAGGCTTACAATTTTATCCAGAATGAATTCAAACTTCCTGATTTGGCCTGCAAGTCCTTTCAGAGCTGGGCCCAGCTTCACTCTCAGCGCCTCCTCAGTCCTTCTCGCTCACTCTGCTCTGAAACACTCAGAGCTCTCTCCTGCCTTTGCTTTTCCGCTGCTCTTTTCACTTTGCCCCAAATCAACAAGGTTCACTCATTTACATCATTCGGGTCTCCACTCAAATGTCACCTCCTCAGAGAATCCCTCTCTGGCCACCCCATCTACAGCAATTGCTGTCTCACTGCTAAGGTCCTGAGAATGCACCTCACACTCTGAACTGCAGGCAGCATGACTGGCTGCACTGGGGGCAAGGCTATGCTTCCCCTGGGCTGCTCCCAGCCGAGTAGGGGCATCCAATCTTCCTTCCCTCTCTCCTTCACTCAGAGTCAGACCTGCATCATAGTCTGATGGCCAGGCCAGCCTCTCCTGGCTGCTTTCTCATTTTCTTTCAAAGGGATTTCTGCTGATAAAATCCTTGCACATTTAATCTTGTCTTGATGGCATCTGGGACCCTAGCATATTTATTATCATCCTGTTTTACTATCTTCTTAGTACCACAGAAAATTATCTAGTGTGGCACCCAGCAATCAGCATTTTCCATGCCCTTCAGGCAGTTCTGGGACATGCTCAAGTTTGAGAAACAATGACCTATTATTATATGGTTAATTATAGTCAGAGCAAGAATCAGGACCCAGCTGTAAGAATTCCCATTCATTTCTCACCAAGCAGTACTCTTTTAATGACACACACAGCCCTTACGTTGTATCTGCTTAAATACCCTGCTTTAAAAAATTGGCCAGGCATGGTGGCTCACTCCTGTAATCTCAGCACTTTGGGAGGCTGAGGCAGGTGGATCACCTGAGGTCAGGAGTTCGAGACCAGCCTGGCCAACATGGTGAAACTCCGTCTCTATCGAAAATACAAAAGTTAGCCAGGCATGGTGGCATATGCCTGTAATCCCTGCTACTCAGGAGGCTGAGGCAAGATAATTGCTTGAACCTGGGAGGTAGAGGTTGCAGTGAGCTGAGATAGTGCCATTGCACTCCAGCCTAGGTGAGAGTGAGACTTTGTCTCAAAAAAAAGAATTTATGCTGGTCATATTTTTACATCCATTTAAAAAGATGGATTTAATAAAATGGGCATTAACATACTAGGTAAACTGAAGGAATTTGTAGAACACTGGTTTGATCAAGGCTGACTGCCTCCATCTATCTAACTGGCTTTGTAGCTTTTTAGGCAGTAAAAATAAACTTAGTGTATCCCCTGTCTTGTGAGGGAAGCTTAATCTGATGTTGTGCTATTACTAACATGGAAAAGCAGTCATGCTATCAAGATGGCATCCGGCAAGATGAGATGACACTGAAGTTTGTCGCTATCGATTTTTATATGGCAAAACCTGGGTCTTGTTCTCCCTTTTCTCCCTTTCGATCAAGTACTCTCATCTCCAGGAGGAAATGCTACTGTTTTGGTAGACAGTGGCTGCCCAGCCACAGTGCAAGCAAGTGTGATAACGACAAAATGGATTGATTACTATCAGGAAACGTATGGACAGTAAGGTATGAAATATTACCAGCTGAACAACCAAGATACAAAGATATAACATGCTTTACTGCTTACAAAGGGAGGCAGCCATTAGGAAGTTTGCTTTCTCACATAAATCCTTGACTATCTTTCCCTGGAGGGGAAAAGTATATTACATCTAGTCCAATAGAACATTTAGATACAAGTCAGGATTCTGACAAGTAGGAATATTTAATTTGTTTTGAATTAAGAATTGAGAATCGGAACTTCCACTATGATATGAATACAGAAACCAAGACCTTCCTTACTAATTAATGACCTCTGGCCTATAAAGTCTTCAGGAGAATTTCTAAATGTTCTCTACAACTTTGTGTTTTCTCTTACCTCTTGAGATTGATAATATAAACACACCTAGATACACAATAACTATCCTCCGAAATCTTTTACTATACTAGCTACAATCTCTCATACATCAAAACAGCAGCTCTAGTATATTTTTCTCACCTGAAATATTGAGGAATAGGAAGTTATTCAGTTTCTCACAATTTTCTTAAGCTCAAAGGGTTTGGTCAAAGCACACGTCATACCTGCTTAATCTCTAGAGAGAACAACTTTGACAGGTGAAGCGAGAAAAAAGCTGCTCCACTGCCTTCACGTGGAAAAAAGATGAAATGTAAAGGCCTGCAATGACAGACTTTTCAAATAGGGTTTTAGTAAAAGAATGATGTCTTTGGAAACTTAAACTGCAATTTTACCTTGAACAAGTATAGGATAGGATATCCTTTAAAGAGATTATTTGAAAACTATAAAATATTTATTCATTCAACAAATATCTAATAAATGACTACCAGATCAGTATAACACCATAACCAAGAGTTAATGGAAATGAATAATAATTAAATATGTAATATGGTAGGAGACGTATATGTTTTATCCTGTCATTTAATACTCATAGCAACCCTGCTGAGTTGTTTCTATTAATATACCCATTTCACAGGCAGGAAAAAAAAAATGAGACTTAGAGGAGTTAACTCACTTGGGAAAGTCACAGATGTAAGAGGAAACAGAGCGGGAATTCCAATCAAGGCTTACTCATGTTTTTAACTACATGGTCTAACACCAAACTAAGCACCCTGAATAATATAATGCATGCTGTCGAGAAATGCTATTGTGAAAATGAATAGGAGAGAAAAGAGCCATAATACAGATGCCCAAATGAGTGCTACAAGAGGGGCAAAAGTGTGAAATAAAAGCAGGCCGGGTGGTGTCAAATTCTGTATGATGTGTGGGTTGAGGAGGTAGAGCAGGGAGTCTGGCCTCTGAGGAGGCAAAAAAATCGAACTCACTCAAACTTGTTTTCTGAGCGAATCTTCAATTTGTCTAAGACTTTTCCCTGGAGTTAGGAATTTGCCAAAAAATTATCAGCACCTATTAGGTGCCAATATAGTATAGACATGGACCCTGTCTTCATGAAGGGCACAGTCTAGCAGAAAAAGTAGGGCAGCTTTCAAAGATGGTCCTGTAATATTTTCTGCTTCACACTCTTCTGCAGTGCAACTTTGCCATTCTCACATTAAGAGATGGGGTCTGTTTCTCTAATCCATCCAGCTCCTTGAACCTGGGCAGGACCTGTAACTGCTCTAACAGAAGATGGCAGAAATGGCACACTGTCAGTCCTGGCCTGGAAGTTTCCATTTCCTGCCTCTTGGGAGCCATTCACTATATATGATCACTCTGAGACCACCATGCTATGAAAAGGCCAAACTACACAGAGAGATCAGATGGAATGTGAAGAGAAAGAAAAAGAGATGGGCCAAGGAGCAATGAGATGCCAGGCATATGAGGAAGCCATCTTGTGTGTCCAGCCCAATTGAGTCATCACACGGCTCGGGCTCCATCCACCAATGACTGCAGCTGCATAGCAGACTCCAAGCAGGGGCCACTCAGATTAGTCATGTGAACCCACTGAAGCATGAGAGGTAGTGATAAACTGCTGTTTTTAAGCCACTAAGCTTCGGGGTGGTTTATTAAGGAAGCAATGGATAACGGAAACAGAGCTGAATACAAAATTACCTGTATGACTACATAATCAAACAAGAAAGAGTATAATTTGAGAAATCCTAACGAGGAACATGCCCCTGCCTTCAATCAGGTGTAAGGAGTGCGTACAAGGCTCTCTGCATAATTACATTCAGCTAAGACCTGAAGAGTAAGCTGAAGAAAGAAAAACATGAGAAGGGAAAGTCTGGAGCAGAAAGAACAGCTCAGTCGAAGTCTTGAAGATGGAGATGCCCTCATACATTCTAGGAAGGGAGAAAAGATTAGTAACCAAATTAAAGCAGATGTATAAAATGGGCATGAGGTAGGCTGGCGAGTTGGGCATGGGCTAGCTCATACAGAGTTATAAGCTGTGGTAAGCATTTTGAGCTGTATCCCAAAAGCAGCGGGAGCTAAACAAAGGGATGGAAGAAAGATTTGTGGCCACTGTGACTGTCATGAGAGATTCAGGAGAAATCAGTGGGGAACCTAACTGGACATAAGTTCTTAAAGATCAAGGAGAGGATACCCTGAAGGGAAACTCAACCTTTACCCTAGGCCTCACATGACTAGGAAGTTCTTAGCTATACTTTATTTTAAAATAATTTTTTTTGGCTGGGTGCGGTGGCTCACGCCTGTAATTATAGCACTTTGGGAGGCTGAGGCAGGTGGATCACGAGGTCAGGAGTTCGAGACCAGCCTGGCCAACATGGTGAAACCCCGTCTCTACTAAAAAATACAAAAATTAGCTGGGTGTGGTGGCATGTGCCTGTAGTCCCAGGTACTCGGGAGGCTGAGGTGGGAAAATCACTTGAACCCAGGAGGCGGAGGTTGCAGTGAGACGAGACTGTACCACTGCACTCCAGCCTGGGTGACAGAATGAGACTCCGTCTCAAACTAATAATAATAATTTTTTAAAAAAGATTATGGCCCGGGCACGGTGGCTCACGCCTATAATCCCAGCACTTTGGGAGGCTGAGGCAGCCCTATCACCTGAGGTCAGGAGTTCGAGACCAGCCTGACCAACATGGTGAAACCCCATCTCTACTAAAGATACATAATTAGCTGGGTGTGGTGGTGCATGCCTGTAATCCCAGCTACTCAGGAGGCTGAGGCAGGGGAATCACTTGAACCCAGGAGGTGGAGGTTGCAAAGTGCCAAGATCACGCCATTGCACTCCAGCATGGGCAACAAGAGTGAAACTCCATATCAAAAAAAAAAAAAAAAAAATGTTGTCCAAGGAATTAACTTTCTCAATTCAAACTTTACATCTCATACAATGAGTTTAATTGTATGGTCTATACATAAATCTGATCTAATTCAGGGAATAGAATGTAACTAACTTTAATAAACTAAAAAAAATGTAAAAAAGAATGACACAGTTCAAATGAGAAACTTAAATCAACTTTTCACATTTCATGTGGTATTCTCAGGCCCAAGTTAGCCAAAAATGTGCACATAATGAGCTTCTTATACTTCAGCCTCTGCTTTATTCCTCTGCTTATTTCTCTCGTATACTTCAGACTGCTGAGTCTGTAACT
Organism: Homo sapiens; assembly: GCF_000001405.40. Taxonomy (NCBI): domain Eukaryota; kingdom Metazoa; phylum Chordata; class Mammalia; order Primates; family Hominidae; genus Homo; species Homo sapiens. Next base: position 67,470,376 of record NC_000003.12, read on the forward strand.
GCATTTTCTTATTTACATGCTTTTCTCTACAATGATGCAATGGTTTGAATGTCTCCTCCCAAACTCATGTTTAAATTTAATTGCCATTGTAACAGTGTTAAGAGGCAGAACCTTTAAAAAGTGATTAGGTCATGAGGGCATAGCCATCCTCAAATGGATGAATGTCTTTATTGCAAAAGTTGGTTAGCTGGAGTGGGCTCCTGATAAAAAGATAAGTTCAGCCCCCATTTTCTCTCTGTCTCATACACTCTCTTGCCTTTTCACTTTCTGCCATGGGATAATGTAACAAGTAGGCCCTAACCAGATGGTTGAGCAGGTGCTAGCATCATGCTCCTGGACCTCCCAGCCTCTAGAACTGTAAGCCACATAAGTCTCTTTTCTTTATAAACTACACAGTCTGTGCTATTTTGTTATAGCCGCAGAAAATGAGTTAAGATAAATGCCTCAGAGTTCTCAGTTGCCACCACTTAGATAGAAAGATACCCACTGCCATCCTTTCTATCCTTGCCCTACAAACCAAACAGGTGAAATGGGGGAGCTGCTGCTTTTTAAGCACAGCTGTTACAGACCTGAAATACCCCGTTCTTCTGTTATGCCTGTTAACTGGGAGGGTGATGGGTTACGCAAAAAGGGACACTAGAGCAAGAACCCACAGGAGCACTGCAAAGAGAAAAACTTGGAGAAGATAGAAAATATTGCTAACACTGTTGGGATCAGAGTGGTGTTCATTTCAATTTTGTTTCCTTTTGTGTATCCTCTAGATAAGAAAGAGTTATTGGAGAAATGATTATTTAAATCACATTACTGGTGAATTGAGATGGTATTCAAATGGCATTTGGCCAGAGAACCCTGGGAAGTCTGAAGGCTTCAGCCGTGATTATGAGGCTGCCACACAAGGGTGATGAGGGAAATAAATGTACAAGCAAAGTGAGGCTAGGCAATATGACCTCTATTATCAGCTGAGGTGAGAGCATCCAAATCTTTGTAAGACAGAATAACTGGGTTGAGGGCTTCTTTACCCAGTTAAGTTAATGACATTAGGACATCACACTTGCCTTTTCAACTTCCATGACCCAACTGCAGCCCCTCTAAATTCAAGCTCCTTAACTTACCACTCTATTGAAACCAGAAAACTTCATTCTTCTACAGTTACAGGGAAAGTAGCCAGAGAGAAAGACAGAGAACTCTCCAGAAACGGCTAAAACTGGTCTGGTCTAGGCTGACCTAGCCTTCTCTGGGGGAGAATACAAAAAGGTGTGGGAGAGAAATGATGATGATGAAGAAGAAGAAGGCGGCAAATTAATTTGGCCAGTTTTAGGGGAGAACCTTGGTCTGTGTTACCCCTCAGCCAGGTCCTGAGGGTAGCAGAGAACGGACAACATGGCTGGGCTCTGGATCTCTTAACCAAACCCAGCAGCTCCACTCACCAAGGCCAACTAAATATGCTTTCATGGAGCAAACCACATCCATAACTCTCCTCATCCTTGTAGTAGTTTCGTGAGAGGTGAGAAAACAAGTAGACACAAAGAACTGTTTCCTCCAGAGGCCACAATGTGATTAAAGAAAACATATTAGATATATGCATACACCTTCCTATGTTTAGAGTCCTTAATGACCTTGTTTTAAGACAATTATTTTCATAAAATTACTAAAAATAATTTGATGTTACATTATAAATGGATAAAATCACTGAAAAAAAAATCAAATCTAGTTTCATCTTGATTTCCTACTTTGTCCATCCATGAAGACATATAAAATGAGTCCAATAGGAACAAGCAAACAACTTCTTTCTTGGACTCTAATTTGAGGCATTGTTAACACAGTGATGTTCATTTATTCTATACATGGAAAAGGTGATGTCTAAAAAATTCACATGTCCATATTTTACTACTGACTTGTACATTAAAAAATATTTTTTTAAAAAACAAGACCATGTTTCCTTTCATGCTGGATGTGAATGAAGTCTGTAGCAACCACAAAGTGTCATGTGTTAGATCTAGATTAGGAATCTGGTAATCATAGACATATTACATGATATACTGGATTTTACTCTATAATTTTTACATTTTATCACAATGGCTGTTTTCTGGGTTATCTTATAATGAAATATTCTTGATGAAAATAATTTATTTTTACCCAACTGTCACTATTACACTTAGATTTATTTACTTTAATTATATGCAGACCCTCTGAAGCCATCTGTTAATGTCTAAATATCTATTATACTTGTTAATAGGTTTTTATTTAATATTTGGGATCATTTAGCAAAATGCATTGTTCAGCAGATGACAGAAGCCAATCAATCTTAATTAACTAAATGGTCACCAGAGGACTATTTTAGGGAAGGATAGCAAAAAATAAAATTCTTCCAACTTGTAGGTGTAGGGTTAAAAAAACAAACATTCAATGTAGTCCCATGTCTCCAAGGCGGGCTGGAGTGGGGATAATGATATACTTCAAATTCCATTTATAAATGTATACTACTAAACGTATCTAAGATGATGGTGACAGCAAAAAGACAGGAAGGCAGCTAAGTATCTTAAACATGGGGAAATGACTAAAAGTATAAGGGTGTAATCATATAATGGAAAATAAAATGGCCACTAAAAATCTTGTTTCAGAAAAATATTTAATGATGTCATAAAATGACTTCAGTATGTTATTAAGTGGAAAAAACAGTATGATCTAGACTTTAATTTTTAAAAATATGCATTTATACAGAAATGAAAAGAAAATACTGGAAGTAGATAAGTCAAATTTTAATAGTTGTTATTTCTGAGCTAAGGAATTATGGATGACTTTATTTTTATTTATTTTTTTTGAGACAGGGTCTTACTCCAGTTGCCCAGGCTGGAGTACACTGGTGTGATCTCAGCCCACTACAGCCTTGACCTCCCGGACTAAGGTGTTTCTCCCACCTAGCTTGATGACTTTATTTGTGTACTTTTCTGTATTCCAAATCCTTTGTAATGACTATTGTAAAGGATTACATTATGGAGCTCAATTATTTAGGAAATAAATCCCTCAGACACTTAATTCTGAAATTTGTGATTTTTTTTTTAAAAGCACCAGTGATGAAGAATAGAAATTAACTTAGAATTCCAAAAAGAATGAGTATTAAAAGGTGTGTTTTAGAGACTGTTAAAAATAAAAATCCCTTCTGTACCAACCTCCCAGGCAATCATTAAGAGTCTTTTGACTACACGATACAACACACATTAAGAGTGGATATTGCACACTTCATTTTAGAGGGAGTTTTATTTGAATTTTGACCCAACTTCATTTTAAAATGATATTTTGTTTGGAAAAGACTTAAGGCTGTTTTCTACAGATAACTTCCGAGTAGCAGTACCACCAGTCTTTAACTTCCCAAAACTTGCCAAGTGCAGCGATAAAGGTATAAACTGTGTTTAATTAAAACCACTTGCTTTAAGTAAATGGAGTAAGAGTTTATCATTCACATCACCTCCCAACTTCTCTTATCATGCCAGCTCAGCTCTTCTCTGAAGGAGGCTACTGCTGTTATCCTTAGTGATGGAAAACGGGTACAAGGTCAACATCATCTTCTTGTGGTCACTGAGTTTAAAGAATACACTAACAGGTCAGGCATGGTGGCTCACGACTGTAATCCCAGCACTTTGGGAGGCCAAGGCAGGATGATCACGAGGTCAGGAGATCAAGACCATCCTTGCTAACACGGTGAAACCCGTCTTTACTAAAAATACAAAAACAAAATTATCCGGGCATGGTGGCAGGCGCCTGTAGTCCCAGATACTCAGGAGGCTGAGGCAGGAGAATGGCGTGAACCTGGGAGGTGGAGCTTGCAGTGAGCCGAGATTGCGCCACTGCACTCCAGACTGGGTGACAGAGGGAGACTCCATCTCAAAAAAAAAAGAAAGAAAGAAAGAAAAAGAATACACTAACAGACTAACATTTTCTAGAGCTTAATTTCTATATATTGAAGAGATGAATATTACTGTGATAAAATGCCGCAAAATAATGCCCCCAAATGAAGCTTATTTGCTACTTTTTCGCCGGTCTCATTCTATAGATTTCTGTGGCTATACCAAGTAGCTGACAGAGATGAGACAAGACGTGATTTGATTGGTGACTATAAATGACTTGGCCCCCTTTCAGAAGAATATGCCAAGTCTTCCTATATTTGCTCAAATTTAACTTGCATTATGATATTGCTTTCTTTCACATTTAGAAGGGCTCATGTAATTCTAAAATACTGTTACATATAAAGTTTTAAAATAGTTTTTTAAGAAGCTTCACTTTAAATTTAAACACACACTTTACTGGCTGAATGCAACCTTCCTTTAATTTATCTTTACTGAATTTTGTCCTGGTTATTTGCAGTTTTAAAAAATGCCCATACACATGTCCAGGGCATTCACAATTCTTACAAGTCTTTTAAACTCCAGAGATTTCTCTTAGGGAAGCCCTATTCCCAGCTTTCCACAGGCGTATGGGTTGTGCCTTCATCTCTTTCTAGCTCTGGAGATAGTGGTCCCTACAACACCAACATAAGTAGGCTCTACTTTCCCAACCCTCAGAATTGCTCACTCATGATGCCAACAAGGTGTGAGTGTCCAGCTCCAACCCTTATTTCCTTTCCTGGTCTAAAAAAAAAAAAAGAGAGGAAAAATCATGCTTCCCAGAAATGAATAAAAATGCAAGCATTGTAGTCTTAATGTCATATCTTTTGTATTAGTGTCACATAAGTGAATGGCATAAGTGATCAACAAAATATTACCCTACATACAACTCAGAGTTCCCAAATCATGAGTTGGCAACTCCTGACACTGTAGGAGAATGTAGTTAAGTCAACTGCCTATTAGCAAAACAGAAAGAATGAAAACGATATTAAACCCTACCTAACTGAAACAAGACATTAAGGGCTCACCAAAGAAAATGTTTTTCATTTGTAAGAAAACTGAGTGATTTCTCTTCATTGCAAAAATGGCAAGGAAACTTTGAGTTTCTACTCCACCTAAGAAAAGCTGTGCTGGTTGGAAGTTCTGATTAAAGGCGAATCTGTCACAATTCTGAGAGCACATCCCCAAAGAGGCAGGCACTCAAGGGGACAGCCTCTAAGGGACATGCAGAAATTAAACATTTCCAAAGAGATCCTGTAACTTGCCAGCCCAATGAAATGTCCTATTATAAGTTTTCAATCAAAAGACATGTCTTGTGGTCCAAACCTTTAAATCAAATGATTTGCTGAGCATGAAGCATTCAGGTGCTATCACCCACTATGACATACCGACTTTACATAGGCATTTTCTTTTATGTGTTCACCTCGCTTCCGCTGCCCCATAATTGATTTTCCTTCCCCTCCTTTTTTTTTTTTGAGAGCGAGATGGAGTTTTGCTACACTGCCCAGGCTTGTCTCAAACTCCTGGTCTCAAATGATCCTCCCACCTCGGCCTCCCAAAGTGCTGGGATTACAGTCATCAGCCACCATGCCCAACAAAAATGTTTCCCTTTTGCAAGTGTGTACAGTTATAAACCTGAAATACTGCCTGGAAGGATAACATCATTGAAGTATGATATAGAAAGGCCAATTTAAAACCACAGAATTTGAGTATTCCTTCCCTTTCCTTCTCCCTCTCTCTCTCTCTCTCTCTCTCTCACAAGCTAATTTTGCCTATCAATTTAATAAAATTTCAATGGGATTCAATTTATGTGTAACTAATTTATAAACACAATGTTAACCTTTAATGTTTTATATGTTGATTCTGAGAAACCAAGAGTCAGGTGCACATTCATGTTATACAGCTGTCCCTAATCCCCAAGCCATGGACCAGTACTGGTCCATGGCCTGTTAGGAACTGGGCCGCACAGCAGGAGGTGAGCAGTGGGCAAGCAAACGAAGCTTCATCTGTATGTACAGCTGCTCCCCATGGCTCGCATTACCACCTGAATTCTGCCTCCTGTCCGATCAGTGGCGGGATTAGATTCCCATGAGCATGATCCCTATTGTGAACTGTGCATGTGAGGGATCAAGGTTGTGCGCTCCTTATGAGAATCTAATGCCTGATGATCTGTCATTCTCTCCCATCACTACCAGATGGGACGATCTAGTAGGAAAACAAGCTCAAAGTGCCCACTGATTCTACATTATGGTGAGCTGTATAATTATTTCATTACATATTACAATTAATAATAACAGAAACAAAGTGCACAATAAATGTAATGCACTTGAATCATCCCCAAATCACCACCTCTTCCCCCGCAACCCTGCACCCTTGGACCCTCACTCAGTAGAAAAACTGTCTTCCATGAAACCAGTCCCTGGTACCAAAATGGTTGGGAACTAATAATGTAAGATAAGAACTGGATTTGTCTCATAATATTCTCCTAACAATGTAGCTACCAGGCTAGGCAATTCATTAATTCCAAAAACTTCAGGTGGCATGAGTTAATAATTCCAGAGACTGCAGCAGTGGAAGATAACAGGAAAAAATGGAAACTGGTGGATATTTTAAATCAATGGCGTCTACATGATTCCATACTTAGCAAAACCAGGGATAGCTGATTCCAACTCTGATTCTGGTCTTGTGGAGACGCCATGAAAATTTTCTTGTGATAACCTTGAGGAGGTCTCTGGAGCCAGAATAACCGTTATCTATTACCCCCTGAACAACTGTCATGATTCTTGAATCTACAAATATATGTAAATTCTGCTTGTATCTATCTGTACCTGCCTCCCATATGCTCAGGGTTATCACCCTCTGTATCACTCCTTCTCAAAGTGGCCGCACTGTGGCATCACCTGAACAGCTTCAAAAGTCCCGATGCCTCACTACCTCCCCCATCCCAAGAAGTTGATTTAATTGCTCTGGAGTAAGGTCTGGGTATGTGGAGTGCTGAAAACTCCCCTCAGATGCTTCTAATGTGTACAAGCTCCACCATTTGGCTGACTTTTTTTTCCCCTAAAGGCAAACTCTAGATCTTAGTCATCTCCTGATTCTCAGTGTCCTCTTCACAGTACTTCTCACAATCAGTCTGTAATTAGAAAACTGGTGAGAGGCTGGGTGTGGTTGCTCATGCCTGTAATCCCAGCACTTTGGGAGGCCGAGGCAGGCAGATAACTGGAGGTCAGGAGTTCAAGGCCAGGGTGGCCAACATGGCAAAACCCCGTCTCTATTAAAAATACAAAAATTAGCTGGCCATGGTGGCAGGTGCCTGTAATCCCAGCTACTTGGGAGGCTGAGGCAGGAGAATCACTTGAACCCGAGAGGCAGAGGTTGCAGTGATCTGAGATCAAGCCACTGCACTCCAGCCTGGGTGACAGAGCAAGACTCTGTCTCAAAAAAGAAAGAAAACTAGTGGAGGTTTTACTAAGTCTGTCTGACCCACGACACTGTATGCTCCATACAATTAGGAATTATCTCTCTTTTGTTCACCACATCCCCATTCCTCAAAGAGCAGCAGAAATATGGTACAGAATGAATACTTATTTTGTGGAATAAAAGAAATTAACTGATCTACAGTGAAAAAATAAAAATAAAAATAACAGCAGCTAGCACTTACACAGACACTGTTTGCCAGAAACTGTTTTAACAGCTTTACAAATATTAACACATCTATTAATCACAACAAACCTACGATAGGTACTATTATCATGTCTACTTTATAGATGAAGAAACTAAGGCACACATAGATTAAGTTGCCCAAGGCCAAGCAGTTAGTGGCAGAGCCACCAGGATTCAAACTTAGGCAACCTGGCTCTAGAATCCCTTCTCTTATCAGCTAGCTCAACAATGCCTGGCCGGTGGGAGAGGCCACTTAACCGCCCCTTCCATATAAATGACCACAATACCCATAGCCCTGAAGACGGCCACCACGGCCACAATTTTATGGAATGACAACAAAGTACCAGACACTGCTGAGCACTTCACGTGTTATTTCCTCTAATAATGGATTAACTGCATCGTACAGACCAAACAAGCGAGGTGAAGAGATTCTGATCAACTTGCCCAAGGTCAAAAAGCCAGAAACTGGCTGAGAAGGAACTGAACAGACCTCTGTCTGTCATTGAAGTGCAAGCTCTCAATCAACATATATAATGACCCTTTCGGTTGGATAATTGAATATTAAACAAACAAATGAAAAATCCTAAAAATGGAAAACTAATATGCATGACAAGAATACCCTTCAACAATTCCTTGATCCCTGGTTGTTTTCACTGTTCTCTCCGTACTTTCATTAACATGTTATGTAGTATCATACGTCAAAGTTGCATCACATACACATTTAATTTATGTAAATCCAACTATTCAGGCACAGAGACAGAACAAGTAAGTGAGTGGGAAAGAACCAAAATTAACGAATAAAATCTAGTGGGAGGTTGCAACTGCTATTCCATTCAAAGTACACGAGTTCCTGAGACAGAAGGAAGAGAATGAGCTCTACATACCCTCATCGGGTCAGCGTCTCACCATACTACTGGGACTCTTGTGCTTAAAGGCACTAAAATGTATGGGTCACTTAAAGAATTTTCAAAGTTAATGATGATAGTAAATATGTTGTGCCTTAAGAACTGTCTTTAGACCTTCACCCTCATATAGGGTGTAACACCACTGTGCAGTGGCTACACAGAGCTAGAGATGCCCAGGATCTACAAATGGGAATTAAAAGTAGCTCAAGTCATGTCTTCTCTGGCCCACTCTCTAAGACAGACATGAACATCCAATAACATGATATAACCTCAGAGGTGGAAGAAACAGCAATGAAGTCTCATCTTGATAGTGAACGTATGAAATAAAAGAAAAGCATTCAAATCTCAATTCCCAAATGGTAGTTGACATAAAGACTATTTATCCAATATCTAGAAAAAGTCACATGCTGATTCTCTGACCACAGAGTAATCTGTAAAAGGAGCTTGTACAAAGAGCCATCAAAGTAAAAAAAAAAAACAACAAAAGAAAACATTAAATTCTATTTTTAAAAAAAGCAGTGGTTTTTTCATTCCTCATACATACCGAGGAAAAACTCAGCAAAGACCTTATGTCACATATCATTATGAATCAATTTTCTTGACCAAACATCAAAGTTGATTCAACATCTCCATCTTGAAACACTCTATTATCACGATGTTTGTCAAATACTGAAAGATCTGACCACTGTCCTTTTCCCCAGACAGCACAAGGAACACAGATAACAAATGAAGGTTGTACTCTGTAGCAAGAATAGACAGGAGACTGAATCACAGCAAAACACTTATAAATCAAGAGGCGGAAAGAAAGCGCTAAGAGTGATTAAATGCACGAAGAGCAGTAATAGGAAAGAAATCTCTTGTGAAAAGAAGCAGTTGATGGTAACTTAACGGGGACAAAAATGAATTAGATCTACCTCGATGACTGAGCTCAAGATGAGGTAATTTCATAAAGTTTATAGAAAGTCACTTAAAAATTACACAACTTGATGTAGTCTACTTTTGGAGAGAAGGAAAATAAAAGTCCTCCATGAGGGAGTTGATCTTTAGAAAAATGCATTTACAAACCACATTGATGAACTCTACCTATTATCTGGAAGATTATCCTTAATTCTCATCTGGGTAACAAAGTCACTTTAGAATGGATACAGTCCTCTGCATTTCAGGGACAGATTTTGAAACAGAAATAGAAGAGAATAAAAATCTTCAAATATAAGGGGTTATAAAGCGTATGGGGAAGGAAATAAAAATAAGTGTTAACAGAGGTGAGCTCTGGGCCACCATAGGACGCAAGAGTGTGCTGAGGCATATTCTCGGTTTGGTTAAGAATAGTACTCATGGTATGTGAAACAGGACTTTCTGTGTTGTCAGTGACCGAAAATCAACTCTAATTTAAGGGGTTAAAGGGAACCAGTTGGCTTACACCTGGGAAGGATGCTAAAGTAACTCACAGAAATAAGGAGGAGCTATAGAGCTGTAGTAGACATTCTCAAATGCAAGCAAACACGAGAATCATCTAGAAGGCTTGTTAAAACTCAGATTCCGGGGCCTCATCCCAGAGTTTCTGACTCTGAAGGTCTGGGGTGGAGCCCAAGAATCTGCATTTCTCACAGATTACCAGATGATGCTGATGCTGCTAGTCCAACCACACTTTTGAAAACCATGGAGTCATGGAAACCTAGGCTAGAGGAACTAAGCCCTATGATGGCAGGAGCCTCCATCATAGCATGGCAGGAGCTTTGCTCCTGGAGCTTACACAGGCTTTCACCAGCTACTAGGGAATGTAGCCTCCTGGGCCACATTATTTTCTTTCATGATCCCAGAGGTAGGTGGCCTCTTTCATGAGCTTCCACAGAAAACCCCTGGGGAAGGTTCTAACTAGCTTGAGGGACTTGTGGCCAGAGACCATCCCTGAAAGTAACCTACAATGGCAGGGATGCAGTAAAGCAATTGGCCTGGCCTGGGCGAAAGCTTACTCTGTGAGCAGTAGCTAGGGAAGACAGGATCCAAGTGAAGACATACAGAGAGAAAGAAGGCATCACATTTTACAGCATCACCAAGGTCAAGGAAGTATCCCCAAAGAGACAAGAGGAAGATTCATGGAAAAGCAGGGTGAGCAAAGAATAGGACAATGTGATTACCGCAGCCCATAAGGAAGTTCACTTTGGCATCAAGATGTACAATCACATTCACTTATGACACTGTTTTTTTTACAAACATATCATCTACACTCATAGAGTGCTGCTTCTTACATAATCTGTGATGATGAATGAATTTTTAAAAATAATTCCCTAACTCATTGACTTGTATTATTATAAAATGTAATAATGCAAATTACTAAAAAATTGATATTCCTCTTGCATGTCATGGCAAGGGTAATTAGCAATACAAGTTTCTAAATGCTTATTCTCAGTATCTGTACTTATCACAAACCTAAAACAGCTCACAAACAGGCACTGGTACATAAACTGGCATGGGTCCAACCACACACTTTCGAGCATTACTGCTCTAGACCACGTGGACCAGGACTTCTTGGTCACAACTTCTTAACTCCTTAAGAAAGTGAATGAGCACAGCTGTATTCCGGTACAACTTTATTTACAAAAACAGGCATTGGCCAGGACTTGGCCATGGACTGTAGTTTGTCTGTCCCTACTTTAGACCAGGGCTTTTCAAACTCTAACGTGCACAGCAATCACCTGGAGATCCCATGAAAACACAGACTGTGCATTTCTAACAGCTTAAAAATTGTTGTCAACACTGACAGTCCATGGCTGACATTCTGATTAGTAAGCCTTCACAGACAAATCTCAGTAAACCTAGAGACTGGTATGTGACCTTAAGTATAATATTGCTCTATACTGGGTTTTTATTGAGCCTTAAAAAGACTGCAGAAAAGACTACATCTGTCATTCAGGTACCTACCTTTCTCTGCTTTAAAGAGATTATTACAATCAGAAAAAAATTGATAAGGAAAGCCCCATTGGAACCAATAGCATCAAATATCGGATGGTTTCCTACTTTCTCGATTAGCTCCTAACTTGACACATAGTAGGTGCTCAAGAAATAATTGTTGGCAGGGCGTGGTGGCTCACGCCTGTAATCCCAGCACTTTGTGAGGCCGAGGCGGGCGGACCACCTGAGGTCAGGAGTTTGAGACCAGCCTGGCCAACAAGGCGAAGCCCTGTGTCTACTAAAAAATACAAAAATTAGCTGGGCATGGTGGCACTCTCCTGTAGTCCCAGCTACTCAGAAGGCTGAGGCAGGAGAATCCCTCGAACCTGGGAGGTGGAGGTTGCAGTGAGCCAAGATCATGCCACTGCACTCCAGCCTGAGTGACAGAGTGAGACTATCTCAATAAGAAGGAAGGAAGGAAGGAAGGAAGGAAGAGAGGGAGGGAGGGAAGGAAGAAAGAATTGTTGATTGCAGGCTGGATGCAGAAATACCAAGCTGTAACCACTAGAAGAGAAATATAGTATGCTGATGGGGCTTCACTTTCCGTCCTATACCTTATTTAAGGTATTTCACACTGTAGGATAAATTGGTGCAACTTTCAATTGGCAGTGCCTTTAAGGAAGTACCTGTATAGAAAAACTGAATCAAAGAATTTGTTCTTTCAGTATAAGTTCTCTTCATGTTTCTATACTTTTGTATTTTTTTACTTTAGCTTCATTCACCCTTCTTATTTGAATACCAAATATCTATTCTTTGGAATTTGGTCAGCACTGTCAGCATTTGGATTAACTATTTGGTCGTTCAGCTTAATGGAGAAGAAGGCTCCACTCATGAAATGCAACTACTGATCACAGGTTATAAAACACAGAAAATATCAGAAATCATCTAAATATGAGGTGATTTTGGTGTTTTCTCTCACACCTGCTACCCAAATGCCAAGACTCTTGGATCATAATGACACACGGAAGATTCTAAGTCACTTTTGTCTCCCTCTCAGAGAAATGTGCTACTTGGGATTAACGAGCAAGTGAAACCTAGAAGGTCAAGGGTTAAAGCTCCAAATGGATTTTCTGCTTGCTGTTTACGATCTTCAGGCCTTTCAGTATTAGAGCAGACACCTAAACGTTTGCTCAAAAACTTTCTATTGAGTTCTAATTGAGAAAAAAGGATGTGTCCAGAATACTTAGAGATAACAATTAATGAAAAAACCCACAGATAAGCTGGAAGAAAAATAATTAACTCGGATTTGTACCAGATGGCCCTTGGGAATGCTAATATGTGTGTTTGCAGTGCTCCATTTCAGAAGACCTCAAAGGTGGAAATGAAGCATTCTCAGGAGAGGTTCCTGGGTATGCAGATGAAATATCCATTGATATTCAGAAAGGACCTCTAATTGCGAGAGAGTTGCCACCCAAATTAGGGTAAAGTTGCTGCGTAAACTATTTAAGTGGACAAAACTTAAAAAAAAAAAATCTGTAATAAAGCAAGCAACATTGCTCAGAACACTTTGGTAGGTCAAGACAAGAGAAAGGAGGACAACTCCGAGGGGCAGATTCTTTCATTGATAGCATTCATGTCATTACCCACAAACTCCAACTCCAAATCATGGAACGGCGATGACATTTCTTTCTCTAAGGTCAACTATCAGAGAGGTCTGCTTGGACAAATCTATCAGAAATAACAAACACCTGGCATTTTCAAGCCCCCTTTCATTTTTATATTTCAAACTAGCAGACAGCACCAGCAGATATATTGCATAATTTTCTTTTACTAGTTACTCACCAGTGTAAACGATTTTCTATCCTCTTTAAAATGGCACCTCCAGTGAACAAGACGAGATGTATTTCACTCACTGCTTTATCCTCAGTGCCTATAAGAATGCCTGGCAGGGATGACACTTAATATATTCTTGTTTGGCTGATGTTTCTAAATGGCTTTTAATCCAGTTTAGTCATTCTGTGGTCTGAGGAACTAGTAACTGATTTCACAAAGGGGTCTTTGCAGAGCTGCCCCCTGACATGCTGGAGAACACCCCCCTACCTACTCAAGTCATTCTTGCTGTGGAATGAATCTTGAGCTCATGGTTGACACCCTGACTTGTACCTATGGCTGAGTTCCTGGCTTAGTTATCTGCCTGGTACTTGAGTCTCCCTAGAACCAAGCTTTGGCTTACAGGAGGCTTGCCATGAATGGAGTTTGGCCCTTGCACTAGTGTGGGATTGGTGGTACTGGCTATTTGTTAAAAGAATTACCTATATGTTGTTTGGGAATTGCCTCCCTCTGTGTGTGCTCTGGCTATCTTCTAACATGCTGCTTTCAGGTAAGGCCCCTCCCTACTGCCACAATCCTTCCTGTACAACCAACCATTTCCTGTACGCATTGCCTCTGGCTGCTGGATGGAACCTCATCCCACTCTCTGCAAAGAGTCCTTCCTTCCAATGCTTGCCTGACTCTGGTGAACAAGTCTAGTCCTAGAGTATGGCCCCCACCAGACTGCCCCATTGTATTACAGTCTTGCCAGACACATGGCATTGGCATCTAGCCTGGAAACTGAATCGTTTCAGAAGGGCAACTCATTGACTTATTACGCTTTTCTTCCTGGCTGAGAATATTCAGCTAGATGACTTATATGGAAATAAAAAAATAGGCTGACAATATGAGTTTGTTCTAAAAAGATATTTTTGGGGCATCTACCATGTTCTATGTACCATTACAGGGGCTACAGATAATGAAGTATACAATAGTTGCATAAAACAAAAACCTTGAATGGGGAGAAAATTCAGGAAAGCTCTATACCTTGGGTATTTTTAAAGAATATGGAGCAAAAAGCAACAAGAAATGTGGGGATGGGGAAGGGGGCAAACAAACTATAATATTTCTGAGCAATTTTACAGAATTTTTAAAAAGAAGTGAATAAATAAAGAGATTATTCAGCGGTGAGGACTGTAAATTGTAAATATCACATGAAAAAGAAAAAGGAGATAGGCACAAATTATCCCCAAGGATACATCTGATGATGGTTATAAAGATTAAAAAGACGCTTAATTTAGAAGTTCACCTGGAGTATGTTGCTCCTTTACAAAGACAGAAAGTTTGGTGGGAATGCACAGAGAAATCAGTGGAATCTTAAGAGGTTTTTGGTAAAATAAATCATTTGAGGATTCTAGCAAGAAAGAGAATGGAAAAATAAAGGTGAGTTCATTTTCTGACCAGTACCAAGTCTCATTCTTGACGCCTCCTAACCTCACTGACCTGAATATACCAGGAAGACATTGAACAGGAAGATATTAAACTGAAAAACTCGGAAGGTGCATTCAGCCACCTCTGGAATTCTTAGGTAGTTTAGCATCCCAGCAACTTAGAGGGACTGTGTCAAATATTAATAAATGACTTGCCGTTAATTCTGAGATAATTAAAACTAACTCAAATTAGAAGTCCACAGAGGTAGTAATTGTATAAAATACATAAAAAATATGTAGCTTGGTCCTGAATTATGTTAATTTTCCTTTTTTATTGTTATAAAACTGTTATGTACCCCCAAAGCTTTTCTTTTTCTTTCCTAAGTCTTATGGCTTACTGTGAAACAAAGCTCTTCATACTTGTTACTATTATATTTGATTTCTGACTGTATAATTCCCTGCTTTAAGCAAATCTGGTTTACAAAGTTCCACATGCTTTTTGAAAGATATTTTATATGTTAGGCTTCTTTAAATAAATATCTAAAATTAAAAGGTCCATTATACTGCTAGGAAAATGATGATCAAGAAGACTAACAACATGAGAAGATGTTCATCAGGCAATGACACATAATGCTGGAAGAAAATTTTTTAAAATGATAATAGTGGTTGTATTACAGGAATACAATTAGGAAATTTTTTAAAATATCACACTTTTAGTAGGAAATGTAAATTCGTAAAGGTGAAACAGCGATCATTATTTAATATTTAAAAACTTCCAAAAACATAAAGTGAAAATAACCTAAATTTGTAAGGAAAGCATTCTTAACTGAAACGTTGAAAAACTAAAATTTCCTCAAACTTTAATCATTCCATAGCTATAAAGGCAGTATGTCTAAAAAGCCATTACTGGCATATTCTAAAGGTTCTCATAATCAAATCCTTCCTTTAGGGGAACAAGTAAACTATGATAAGAAAAGTTTTTTACTTTACATTTAGACTGGGGGTTTCTGATTGTCCTTTCTTTAAAAGTGTCTCAGCTTGGCGTTGTGGCTCATGTCTGTAATCCCAGCACTTTGGGAGGCTAAGAGGCAGATCGCTTGAGCCCAGGAGTTTGAGACCAGGCAGGGCAACAAACCCTGTCTCTACAAAACAAAATTCAATTAGCCAGGTGCAGTGTCATGCACCTGTAGTCCTAGCAACTCAGGAGGCTGAGGTGGGAGGATCTCTTGAGCCCAGGAGGCCGAGGCTGCAGTGAGCTGTGATCACACCACTACACTCCAGCCTGGGTGACAGAATGAGACCCTGTGAGAAAAGACAGTCAAGAAAGAAGAAAGAAAAAGAAAGAAGAAGGAAAGAAAGAGAAAGAAAAGGTGTCTCTATCATATAATCTATGAAAAGCTGCTCATAATTATCCAAAACACTACCCAGGCAATTCTCATTATCCACAGTAGTTATGGTCTATACAGTCACTAAAACCACTGAATTAGCAAATACTCAACCATTGTTCTTAGCGGAAAAACACAGTTACATTTTTATGAGCCTCTAGTCACAATATTTTCATCAGCAGATCAATTCCTAACTTTGTTTTAAGTATGCTTCTGTTTAAAGACACCTTATTTAATATATATTGTTGCTTCTCATGGCCAACAGCATTATTAACTCATGCCGAATGAAGCTTATCTAGCACCTGTATGCTCTCTGTAGGGTACATCCCAGGCTTCTGACACTTAGGAATGCTAGAAAGCATTCAATACTATGCTTGGGGGCCAACAGTGAAATCATACACACAAAAAAGGACAAAAATGCAAAAAACATGGCCATAAATAGACTGCAAAAGGACACGTTTTACAGTATGAAAGCTGAAACAAGAAGGCAGAGGATTGCCTTTTTGATCTCATTTGGGAACATGTGCATTGGGTGACTAAAATTTTTCACCACTCTGCACATTGCCTTGAATGACCTTGAAAGTGCTGTGGAATTACAAATGACTTTTGGAGTACAAATTAATTTTAGCACACAGGCGAATTTCCAAATACAGAACAAGCAAATAATGATCAACTATACCAAGAATACTAAGAGAAAACAATGTAGATTAGATTACAGTGAAATTCCTCCAACACTCTAAAAGCATTCCTTGGAAATAAAAAGAATCTTATTAATAACTAGAGGAACATGCCACTTCTGATCCTAATATTCATCTTGCTTTAAACAGACCAGGAGAACTGTTTCCTTTGTGGGAGGGGTGGGGGGAATACCATTTTTGACTTGAAATTGTACCATGGTATGTTGATTCATGAAATCACAAATTTTAAAACTCTAAAAACAAGTTTCATGGGAAACTAAGTAAATCATAGTAAAAGACACTAACATGCATGAGGTGATCTCAATATACTCTACACAATAGTATTTCAAGTGTACATACTTTATTATAGTGAGACATCAAAATTTATATAAACAAATTTAAAGACAAGAGTCAAGATGTGGGAAAACATGACTGATGACATAAATAAAACTGCCCATTCCCTTGATCTCAAACACACATATACACACACACACACACACAAACACACACACAGAGTCCTGTGTTCTAAATCACTGTGAGAATTATGTAATAATGGAAAACTAGACAAAAAAAAAGAAAAGGCAAGTCATAAAGAGGCATTACAAATGCTGAATAGAAGAAAAAGAATTTAAAAATGCTACCTCTCCTGTTGGTAAAGAATTACAGCAATGATAGCCAAGACATGGGAAAATAAATGGGCAGTCAACTCACTGATGTTAGCCCTCTACAAGTCCTTCAACTATTACTGAGGTAATTCAGCAATGCATGTGAAAACCTTAAAATGTGCATACATTTTGACCCTTACACTTCTAGGAATTTATCTTATATGAATAATCCCAGCTTTATGTAAAGTTATGAGAACAAGGAGGTTCATGGCATTATTTTAAATTTGTAACACCCTGAATATCAAATAACAGAGCACTAGGTTAAGTAAACTTGTATATCCATACAAGTAAATACCATTCCGCCACTGAAAATGTTATAGAGAACTGTACTAGGACAGGCAAAACACATAAAAAAAAGAAAGAAAGCAGACTATATAATATTGTCAATTATATGATATAAGTCTAGTTTTGTCAAAACTAGTGTGTGTATATATATATATTTTTTAAAAAGGTATATATAAATATATCTGTGTAATCTATTTTATAATTTTCTCTTTTGTTTGTCCTTATTTTAATAATTAGGAAAAGGGACTACTATTTATAAAATAACCTAAAATAAGGACAAAAGACTATTTAGCAAACTACTAAGTCGAGCCAATTTCTTAGGCAAGCCCATATGGACATGTTGCTCGTTTAGGAATGAGACCATCTTTCCTAATTCCTAATTCTCTGACAGTGGGTGGGGCAGCATGGAAAGAGGAAAAAAAGGATTCACAGTATCTGCAATCTCCTGAATCCATGGGGCACATCCCACCAGACTACATCTCACCTCTGCTATACAGGAAAGGAATCAGTCCAAAGGATTTCAGCCTTGTTCTTCTGAATGATTTTCCTAAGTTCACTACCCACATCTAATGATGCCTTTACCAGGCTTTATCTGAATTTTAAAGTAACATCTCAAAAATACTAATAGTACAACTTTCAGATGCCCTGCCACATAAGATTATTCTTAAGATGCAGAGATTCTTGACATTATTCCCGACCATTATTGATTGTCTTGCTGAGAAATGCACTGTTTTCTAATTGTTGCATTCAATGCTTCATTTTCTCTATGCAATAACATTAAGGAAAACAACAACCCTAACTCTTCTAATAATTATATATTTTTCCAAACTATATGGCATTATACTTTGATTCATGGTCCATTTCTCTTTAACACTCTACAAAGGCATCTACACAGAGGACTCGTAATCAATTCCGGAGCTTGCTGGGACTAACGACAAAATTTACTAAGCCCCAAATCTGTTAAATTATTCAAGTCACTTACCATAAAACAAAGTAGGTTGCATTAAAACCTGGATTTTGAAGACAGAGTAAAGAGTAAAAATCTTATTTTTGGCTTGTTTCTGAGGGTATGTCAGTGAGGAGCATGTAAATAGATTTTGAGTGTTCTATTAGGGATGGTTTGAAAATGTGGTAGCTAGCAGATACACCGATCATGTGGAAGACACAAAACCAAATGCAGTCACCAGGACCCACTTATTACTGAGAAGTATTGGCAGGTAAAATGGAACAAATGTGAGGTGGGCAAGGAGGGCCAGATATTCTTGGAAATTTTAATTAACTAGACATCAGGAAAAGATATGCAAAAATCAACATTTATGAATTCCTCACACTGGGAAAACTACTGCCGGGGGAAAAAAGAAAAGGGCCCAGAGTGGTAGATGGTTTTCCATCCTCTAGCTTATGCAGAGTGACTTCCCTAAATAAAGAGCTATTCTAAGTGGAAGTGGAGACTAAATGACCAGCTGATCAACACAAAATTAATCATTCTCCACAGACTAGACTATCAGGTCGACTACCACTAGAAAGAATGGCTGCCTGGAATTTTAATCTTTTCCACTCTATATGAAAAAAATACATATTTTCAAGCAAACCTGCAAGAATAGAAATGCAGGGTAGTCATTTCAAAAATAATGCTTGTGTTGTATAAAGTATTGAGCACTATATTCGAAAATAAATTCCTACAAGAGTTCTACTTCCCTACAAAGAAAACAGTCGCTTGCAGATAAGGTATTTCAGCAAACACATGTGGTGTGTAATGAAATGGGTTTTGCTTTGTTACAATAAATTAAAATGGACACCAGACCTGAAGAATCTCTGAGCAGACAAAGCCAGTTAGGCCTCATAAGTGATCTTAACTCTGCTTGATTTGCAGACATAAACAAAACTTGAGCTATTTCTTGTAAATGCCTATGTTACAGAAAAATGAAACTTAAGGCTAACCAATTGGAAGCAGAAAGTTCTAGTTATCTAACTTATGGTTACATAACTAGAACTTTCCAGGAGGATAGACCAAATAAGGCAACAGTATAACTGTAACCAATCCAGTATTTTCTTTGCTTTACTTTCGTGTTTGCCCTATAAAAGTCTTCCCTTCACATTCTTTTGATGGAGCCCTGGAAGCACTTTTGGTTTGGAGCTGCTCAATCCGTGAATCACTGGTTATTCAAATCAACTCCTGACAATTTTACGGCACCTCAGTTTAAGTTTAAACAGCTCTGTGCCTCAGTTATACGCATGTATCTGAAAGAAAACAGGATATTCTTCTTTGTACTTAAATAAACTCTAAATGTGCAATAATTTAAAAATATGAGACAGCACAAGTGAATCCTAAAATATATTAAAACGTAAGGCATTTGCATATACCTGATTCTGAAAATATGGCATGCAGTTTTACTTCTCTGGCTTCACATTCTAAAGTTTCTGAAACATATACCATAGAGCACAAAAAGAGCTGGCCTCTTCTCAAATTTATAACAAATTATATTTTGTTCTTCTTTCAAACATGAATTTAATCCTCCCTTTATTAACTGTTTCCTTGGTTGTCTGAGTAGAGAATCATTGTAAGCTGAGTCACTTACACCTTCCATCAATTTCAAAACAACACATGAAGTAACACTGATTATCACTGAACCTGTATCAGACACCTCCCATTTCTGAGATGTGCATTTATTCTAAATCTAAGTTTTGGAAGTGATAATGGAATGAAACACTCAGAAAATATAAAAAGCCAAAGTTTTCACTATGCTTTAGAAAGGTTTGCAAGTTGGTACTTAAAACAATGCTTTAAGGTATTATTTTCATGTCTATAGATGAGGTAATACAAGTTTACAGAGTATATTCAAATGGCTAATAAATACATGAAAAGGTGCTCAACCTCATTAGTCATGACAGAAAGGCCATAATGAGATAATGCCTCATACTTACCTGAATGACTAAAATTGAAAAGACTAACCAGTAGCAAAAGTAAAGTAAAAGATAACAAATGCAAAAGAGTATACAGTACATGATTCCAGTGATATTAAGTTTAAAAATAGGTAAAACAAATCTGTGATATTAGAAATTACCTTTGAGGGCCGAACACAGTGGCTACTGCCTGTAACCCAAGCACTTTGGGAGGCCCAGGCGGGAGGACCCCTTGAGATCAGGAGTTTGAGACCAGCCTGCGCAACAAGGTAAACCCATCTCTACTAAAAATACAAAAATTAGCCGGGCATGGTGGCAGACGCCTTTAGTCCCAGCTACTCAGGAGGCTAAGTCAGAAGAAAAAAAAAAAAAAAAGAGAGAAAAGAAAAGAAATTACCTGTGGAGAGAAAGCAGGGTAGGAAAATGATGGGGACTGCATGAGGAGGAGGCTTCCAGGATCCCTGTTATGTTTTATTTCTTTTTCTTTTACTTTTTTTTTTTTTTTTTTTCCAGACGAAGTCTCGCTCTTGTCTCCCAGGCTGGAGTGCAATGGCACAATCTCGGCTCACTGCAACCTCCGCCTCCTGCGTTCAAGCAATTCTCCTGCCTCAGCCTCCCAAGTAGCTGGAATTATAGGTGCCTGCAACCACGCCTGGCTAATTTTTGCATTTTAAGTAGAGACGGGGTTTTACCATTTTGGCCAGGCTGCTCTTGAAATCCCGACCTTCTGCCCACTTCGGCCTCCCAAAGTGCTGAGATTACAGGCATGAGCCACCGCATCCAGCCATGTTCTATTTCTTGATCTGGCTGGAGGTTAGATGATATGTTCACTTTGTAATAATTCATCAAGCTGTATACTTAAAATTTGTATACTGTTCTGTATGGAGATTATACTTTAATAAGTTTATTAAATTTTTTAAATGATACTGTCATATGAAATTATTTTCCCTCTAAATGAAAAGTGTGCGTGTGTGTCTCAATATGTGTAATAAAACAACCCTCTGAGGTAAGTACTGCTATTATTACCACTTTATAAACGAGGATACCAAGGCACACAGAAGTTAAATAGCATGCCCAAGGTCCCACAACCAGTAACTGGTAAAGACAAGACTGGAACCCAGGCAGTCTGGCATAAGAATCCCACTAAGAGTCCCTTCCATTCTTCAACTTGTCTTTGGTGCTTAGGTAGCACATTTCTTCCTAGATATTTCAAGGGCTTAGAAAATATGATTCAAAGTTGGATCTAAACCAGGAAGTACAATCAAATCCAATGAGGTGCCTTTACTAATGCCAATCGTGTACTTTTGCTTTTCAAAACTAGGCCTCCAGAGAGCAAAAGATTTGCTTATCTTTGGCCAACAGAGTTGGGGTCATGGAGAGATTCGTGCCAAGTGTCCTTTCCTTGTATTCACTTCACAAGATGTTTCGTGTAAGTGAACACTAGGTGTTTTGTGTAAGTGAACACAACATATTCCAGATGTTACATTTGCTACACCTTTGGAATTCTAAGTTCAGAATTAAAATACAAACCAGAGTATAATTTGGAAAACAAAAACCCAAGGTTAACATTCTATATAGTGCTTTTCTTTTAAATGTCTTTAAATTCTTAACAGAAAACCACAAAACCCTACTTCTATTTCCTATTTTATACATTTTTGCTCTTTATGATTTAAAGAATACTAATGCTTAGAATTCTTTAAATCAAAATGATGAAGACCACCAGCAGAACAAACTCTATTACTTTTCTCTCATCTCAAGCTCAGCTGGAAAATAAGAGAATTATAAAATATTTAATGATATACTTTATATGAATTCAGTTCAGTAAGTGAGTTTATCTTGAAAAAGACTCTTGTTTTATTCAGCTTGGTAGAGGAACTTCATTTCATATATATGATAAAATAATAAGAAACGTATTAGTTGTAGAGATACTTGTGTTAGGTCCAAGTGAAAATCAGCATTTGGGTTAACAGTCAAGCAAAATAACTAAAATTTTCAGCTCTATGACTGACATCATGAGTGGAAATATATGTCAACCTGTAATAATTTTATTGAATGACGTGTTTACTAAACAGAATTATCTTAGACACACTGCAAATAAGCAGTTGTAAATATCAGTTGATAAAAGTTTAACAAAAACTGGTGTTCTGTAATTTTGACTTTCTGTGTATTCAACTAACTAATCCTTACATCTAACAAGACAATTGACACCTTTGAAATAATTAGCTTTGGGCTCTCAGGAACCTCTACTTTTGGGCAGGTGGACACGAAATAATTACTGCCAAAACTACAGCCAGTTTGCTTGCAAAATCACATCAACTCATCTATACTATTTTTTAGGTTCTGTTCTCTAAATTTTGTGAAACGAAGCCAGGATTGAAAATACTCATTACATTTCTATGTTTTTTAACTGGTTTTGAAATTTCAAGATTTGGAAAAAGTACTGTGAGATGAGCTGTGCATTCATTTTCCTGATATAGCATGAGAAAAATAAAATAACTCCCACATACCTTTATCTACCCAAGATGACAGTTAATCTCAAAAAAAGTTGAAATAATCCAAGCATTTGAAAATGTTCCATAAAGTCAAAATTTTGGAAGAGAGTGGTTTTTTTAAAAGAAAAATGGCTCTGACAGTAATTTTTCCACTATCCCTCCCCATCCTACAGGTTTTACAAAATTAAAATTTGAGGTGAGCCACTAAGAAAAGCTATTTCAACGAAATCCAATGATTGTCCTGGTAGATTTCATCTCTCAGTGGCTCTCTATTATCCTTTGCACAGAGTTTCAGTAGACGCTAAAAGTTCAGTATTTTATTACAATCGTCTGTCCTCTGGGTACTGTGTGGTTCAAGCAGCTTAAGGAGCTGTGTGTCTCGGTATTTACAGATTTCAATTGGTTTGGGAATCTCTGGGAGGAAAATGATTCTTCCCTTAGAAAGCAGTAGGAAGAAAGAATAAGTGAATTAATACATGATTAGAGAGCCACTGATAGGTGTTTCTACCTAACCAATGAAAACAAAGTGCTTATGTAAGTGGAAACATTGTTCTTTTTGCGAATACCTTCCTTATGGCTGGCTGCCTTTGAACTTCAATAACTTGGCTATTCCTGAACGGCACTGGAGAACTGAAGATAAGTGCTAATAATACCTTGCCGTCTGTTTTGTGAGTCAGAAGAAAAGACAAGCAAAAACATAAGGCCACCAACTATGTAAGTCATGAGGAAAACAGACAAGTGTACTACCAATATAAGACAAAATTTTATGCATGCAAAACAAAACAGGCTATTGCCAGTATATTTATTAATGGGAAGCTTCCATATTTAGTTCAGACCACATTTCTTTTTTAAAAAATCTGGTATTATTTTCATTTATCATTCTCTTAGTAACAATTCAGATTTCCCACATCTTCAGATATTTTAGTAACCAACTCAATATATTAGATACTCTAACAATATTGAGACAATGATTCTCAAATAAAAGTTTAGGCCAATTGTGATGGCTCACGCCTGTAATCTCCAAGATCTGAGGGCCTGAGGTAGGAGGATCACTTGAGGTCACGAGTTTGAGACCAGCCTGAGCAACACAGCAAGACAAAAAATAAAAAAAAATTGGCCAGGCATGGTGGCATGCACCTGTAGTCCTAGCTACTCAAGAGGCTGTGCGAGGAGGATACCTTGGGCCCAGGAGATTGAGGCTACAGTGAACTATGATAACACCACAGCACTCCGGTCTGGGTGACAGAACGAGACCCTGTCTCTAAAAAAAAATAATCAAAAAATTAAAGAAAAAGTTTTATATCAAATTGTTGTGGCATATACGTACTTCACAGGCCTGTTAAAAGAATGAATGAAAACCGTGTACATTAGACTTTCAAAATATTTTGGTCTTTCTACATAACAAGCATCTACCTAAACCATGTTATAGTCAACTGAGTATCTACAGGTGAAACAAAGCATACTGATATTTAACTTCCTTACTAAACTAGCTGATTAAATATTAATTGAATGCCCACACTGCCCCTAGCATGGGTGTGGTAGCTACATTCTAGTTAGCTACCCTCAAGTTAAAAAGATGCACATGAAGCAGCAATAGTAACTATGAAACCAGGTACAGTTATTTGCTACTTAGTACATATGTTACAAACTAATGGTCAGAGATAAAAATTAGAAAGCATACAAAAGAAGGTGGGGCCATTATTTCCCAGTGATTTTTGATCCCATAACCCTAAAATTTTCCAATATATGGTAATACCTTCAGCATCTTTATGGAAGGAATCATAGTACTCTTCCCTCTAAATCATGTAAGCATAGGACCAGTCACTTCTGTGTAAATTACCCAAATAAAGTTCATGCCAACCAATGTTTCGACTGGCACACTGTATCTTTTTTATTTCCTTCCACCTCTCAGGACTGTACACACAACCTCTGAAATAAGATCCCAAGCCTTTTACCCAAAACGAGTTAAATCATCACGTATTCCAATGTGATATAAGACAGAAGTTGTGGGCTGGGCGCGGTGGCTCATGCCTGTAATTTCAGCACTTTTGGAGGCCTAGGCGGGCAGACCACGAGGTAGGGAGTTTGAGACCAGCCTGGCCAACATGAGAAACCCTGTCTCTATTAAAAATACAAAAGTTAGCTGGGCGTTGTGGCGTGTGACTGTAATCCCAGCTACTCAAGAGGCTGAGGAAGAAGAATCGCTTGAACCCAGGAGACGGAGGTTGCAGTGAGCCAAGATCGCGCCACTGTACTCCAGCCTGGGCAACGGAGTAAGACTCCGTCTCAAAAAAAAAAAAAAAAGATAGAAGTTGCATCTGGGGCTGCAGAGTACACATATTGACTTATCAACTCTCACCAGGAAGAACAAGTGAGCTCTTGACGGTGAGAAATTAAAACTGGCATATAATCTCCCTACAAAGAGAAAGGTTACCTTAGGATCAGCTGTGAGCAATTTGAATGCTTGATATACTTGAGCTTCCTTTACACCACCTCCAAGATCCAAGAAGTTGGCTGGCTTCCCACCATTAAGGAAAATGATATCACAAGTAGCCATGGCGAGCCCAGCACCATTCACTGTGAAATGCAAATGGGACACAAGACAGGCTACATTTAGCAACATGAAATGGTCCATAAACATTTTCCCTCCCCCATATTGCCAAGAGAGAACTCTGTCATTGCCAGGCCAATTTATATCCTGTTTGGAATTCCATTAAACCAGATTAGTTCATAGACTTTTAGGATAAAGAATCAGGACATGTATATGCAAACAATGAAACAAAAAAGACTTAGGAATGAGGAACAGGATGTATTGGGAAGTTAAATCAATCTGAAAAACAGAAAGAAGGAAAGGTTTAAGTAAGTAACCGATTTGGGCCAGTAGTAAAAAAGGAAGTTTTAGGTTCTGCAAAGTGTAAGCTTAAGAGAATCAGGAGGCAGAGAAACAAGCTATTGGAAGTTGCTAGGACCTATGAATTACATTCTTTTTAATATACTTTAAGAGACAGGAGTAAAGAATGGAATTCTCAATGTTTTGTTTGCTGAGAATATGGTCCTTTGAATGTGGCATCTGTGGGATTGAACCACAGGCTTCCCAACTTCAGTGGGATTTTATACTTTTTTACACTT
The DNA here is from genome assembly GCF_000001405.40 of Homo sapiens. Lineage (NCBI taxonomy): Eukaryota > Metazoa > Chordata > Mammalia > Primates > Hominidae > Homo > Homo sapiens. Next base: position 67,496,493 of record NC_000003.12, read on the forward strand.
AGTACAGTCATACATGTTTACATAATGTTACCTGGATAAACTTAGAAACAAATGAACAAATGACTGCACAAAAACAATATTCTTATCCCCTTGTTCCTCTTTCAAATTAATATAAGCAATGCTCACCAGCAACCCAACCGTTAAAACTGGAACCAAAATGTGCCAACATCTTAGGAGCCTTTCTTAAGAAAGTAGGTAGAGAGTTTTAATATCAAAAGTCTTGTTTTCCAGAGCTAAGTTTTATTGATCAATTGCACTTATTTTGCTTCTTAAGCTTAATTATATAAAATTACTTTCCTTGAGAGAGAAAAAAAAAACTCCAGAACACAGCAGAAACTCACAAGGTAAAGTACCTTTCATTTTTCTGACCCTCCAATTCCCTAGAAAAGCCTATGACTGTGACTAATTAAATTTGGAGTAACTAAAATAAAAATGGTTTACACAGAATCTTAAAACAATTTGAAATGTGTAAATCATAGATTTTGAGGCTGCTATGTGGTCAAACCATGCACATTCCTACAGAGGCTATAAATAATCTGTATTTAATTTGGTTTAAACCCATATACCTTTCCCCTTTCTAAATGCCTACAAATATTGAGAGTGCATTAGCTTATCAGGATCAGAATGATGTGAGTGATCTGGTACATTATAGTTATTGCTCCAATACAAAGCAAGAGCTTTTGGTATCACTTGTAATTGGATGTCATTTTCTATTGTATTGAACAGCCACCTCTTGGATGAGGTCTCTTCAGTTCTGAATACAATGATATTGCTGGTTTAATGAGCTACAAATCATTTTTATTTTAATTCCATTAAGATTAAGACCTCAGTTTCCAGTACAATGAATTGATTCTACCAGAAACACAGTCTTGTGCAATTAAGTCAGAAGCATATAAATCTGAGCACTATAAGCTGTGAACAATAATAGAAACTGTATTGCTTCTACAGACATTCTTATCTCAGCTGAAGAAGCCATTTTCACAAATTTAGATGAGTGTGATAAAATCAATTGTTTTATTAATAAACTAGCATAATGGATTAAACATTTCATCCTTTGGTTATCACAGAACCTGAAACTTTAGCAACGTGATTAAAGTGTATGTCCTCTTCTATTTCCTCTGATAAAGGAATTTTGTTTTAAACCTAAATTTCAGAAGAGTTCTGCATATTAATACTGAGTTGAGCAGCAAAGGTTCTAATTTTTTACTAAGCAAAGTTTAACTGAGATGTTTTAAGTCAATATTTCTCAGTTGGGGTGATTTTTGCATACCACAGCCATTTGGAACTGTCTGAAGACATTTATTTTAATTTATTGATTTACATGGGTTTATTTGTCTTCACAAGTGGGGGTTGTTAGTAGTATCTAGAGGTTAGGATGCTAAACATCTTATGATGTACAGGACAGTAAAGAATTATCCCACCCAAACTCCCAATAGTGCCAGAGTTGAGAAATTCTGCTTTACACCAGTGACCATTAATCAAAACAACTTTGAGAAGAAACTTGGATACTTTCCTAAGACTTTTCAGCTACAAAAAAACTTATGTGCTTACTTCTTCTTGGTAAGTGACATTTCAGAAATCAAGGTTTCCTAAATTCTATAAGAATCCACAAAGCATTCTTTTGATATAACTGCTTCTTACCAAAGCAGGCAATGTTCCCATCTAGTCCTATGTATTTTAGATCATATTTGGCAGCTTCATTTTCAATGGGCTCATTCTCTGATTTGTCGTCCATAGCAAATATGTCTTTTTGTCGGAATTCTGCGTTGTCATCAAAGTTTATCTTGGCATCAAAACAGACAACTAAATAAAGAAGAAAACAATCATACTTGAATATCTCTTGAGGATCTATAAATTAAGTTCTTCAGGCTGGTAGGCACAAGCGAAGGGAAAGTTAAGTACTGTCATTTTTTTTCACATGTTACAGGCAGGAGAGGCTGCTTTGGCTTTCTTGACCTTTAAATTTTAGGGTTTGGTCCCTGTTGTCAAGGGACTTACGTTCTAGTAAAGAACATAGTAATTTCTACCTGTTGTTCTCATTTCAATAGAATAACCCCAAAAGTTGCCATCAACCATTAAAAGTTACAGACTGGCACAGCTTCATAGATACAGCTTTGATTCATTATTTTTATTATATATTTTTAGTATTTAACCACTAATTATCACCTTTCTCTTCTATGTAAAGAGAGACTAGACAATATTATTAATTATTTTGTCCCCTATTGTCCTTTTCTTGATATGGTAAAGTGAAATTTTTATTGAATCAGTATCCTGTCTAGTATTTCCAAAAGATTTAGTGGAAAGAATGCCAGACTAGAATCGCTCGATTTTTATTTGATCCTTAACTAACTCTGTAACATTTATTAAAAATAAAAATTGTATACACTTGAGTCTTGAACAACATGGGTTTGAACTGTGAGGGTCCACTTATAGCTGGATTTTTATTCTCAAGATGTAAAGCCCCAGAGGGTCGACTTTTCACATACATGGGTTCTGCAAGGCCAACTGCAGGAATTGTGCAATATGAACGAAGTTTGGTATATCTGAGATTCCTGGAACCGATTCCCTGCATATATTGAGGGACAACTGTGTATTTAAAGCATACAACATCATGTTTTGATATACATATAACACAGTGAAATAATTAAACACAGTGAAATGATTACTACACTGAAGCAAATTAACACATCCATCTTCTCATATAGTTTTTGGTTTTTCTTTTTGGTGTGGGAGAGCACTTAAAATATATACTTTTAGCAATTTCCAGCATACATTACTAACTCTGTAACCTTGATAAAATAACCTAGTTCTTCTCTGGGCCTTGGTTTTTTAATTGGAAAAAATGGCAATAACAATCCTTAAAACAAGGGCCATGCCCTTGATTCGTGCAGGACCATCTTATGGTGCTTCAGATTCAAGTTATAAGACACGAAAAGACCAAGACTGGTCAGTCACAAAGCCAGGATGCCAGGCATTATTAGCACAATTGTCTCTAGTTTCTGGAGCTGGTGGAAATCTCCTGGACCCAGCAAAACTCATTCCATAATAGGAGACAGACTACAGGGCACTTTCCTTGATTTACAGATCTCCTATACATACAATCAGGGAGAGACTGCAGTGGAGAGGGTGGCATTATTGGTATCTGGGTATCTGACCCCTTTTATTATCTCTCTTAGTGTAGAAATTAGTGTTCTGTGATGCCATGTCATCATAATGTTTGTTTGTTTGTTTATTTATTTATTTATTTATTTATTTCGGAGACAGAGTCTCACTCTGCTGCCCAGGCTGGAGTGCAGTGGCGCAATCTCGGCTCACTATAACCTCCACCTCCCAGGTTCAAGCGATTCTCCTGCCTCAGTCTCCCAAGCAGCTGGGACTACAGGCATGTGCCACCATGCCCAGGTAATTTTTTGTATTTTTAGTACAGATGGGGTTTCACCGTGTTAGCCAGGATGGTCTCGATCTCCTGACCTTGTGATCTGCCCACCTCAGCCTCCCAAAGTGCTGGGATTACAGGTGTGAGCCACTGCACCTGGCCAATGTTCTTTTACTTAACTTGGGATATTGATAGCCAGGAATCTTTGAACAATAATTTACAGATACTACCTATTCTCCTCCAGCATTGCTGACAGGCACCTGACTCTTGAAAGGGAAACAGCCACAGAACATTTCTCACTCACTGAAAAGCAGTGGCTATAATCTCCTAATTATACTTGCTTCTTATGAAAATAAAACATGGCTGTATATGGCATCTTGGCGTTAGAGACCCCAGGTAGAGGGTTTTCTCCAAGGGTTTCCCTACCACAATATTCAAGCACTTTGATACAAATCTGTGTAGACCAGCATATTAACATCTAAGAATACTTGTTATAAGTATATATATAGACCGCACATGACTTAAAGTAGCACTGAGCGACAAGAGAGAATCTTATATGGAAGTTAATGTCTGCTTAAATCCTTAGTCTTGCCCCAAAATGCCCAACCACTTTGTCCACACATTGTGAATGGTTGGAGTGAATGAGTAATTACTTTCCAAAATATTGAAAGCTTATTGACAGAATCCTACAATTACCAAACGAATTGGCCAATGTTCTCTGCTTGCTACAGGGGAATTTTCTCAGCAGTTAATGACTGGTATAATAATCAATAAAAAAGCAACTTCGTACATGGCTTTCCACTAGGTTTATAAATGCATTCTAATTAATTTATTAGTAATTTTAGCTCCTCCATTACTCATTGGCAAGACTACTTATAACTGACACCTTCAAAATGAATGGGCTAAGGTTATCAAATTGACTTCCTAAGGGAAGAGTTTCAAATAAAGGAATTCTTGGTTGAGATCAATAAACAAGTAAATCAAAATAGTTTCAAGCTGACCTTTGCTCCTTACAAAGACTACAGTTACAAGCTGCTTCAGAGAGAGAATAATTAATGGGTATGTATTCAAAGTTCAAAAGGCAATCCCAACTAAATGCCTGCAAAGCTAGATTTTCAGAGGATGTTTTTCTGTGGTATGACGTTCTCTCCAGGGAACAATCTTGACAGAACTTTGCAGTTAACCCAGAGCTTCAAGATGGTGACTATGGGATAAAAGGGGTGTATATCTACAACGGTCCTGTGCCGACTGTTAATTTGTAGAGAAAACTAAACAACCTAATTGGATCATTGCATGTATGTCTAAGTGTTTTGGGAAGTTAAAAACACTACCTAAATATGAAGTAATTTATTTAGAGGACTTAGGACTTAAGAAAGGGGATTCAAATTGAACTGCCACCTTCAAGACCCCAGTCTTTACTTAGTGGGTAAGGGAAGAAAAACTTTAAGGATGTAAAGGGATTCTTTCAGACACATATTTGTTACGCCTGTTTTATATTTTAAAAGTAGTCTGTGATACTGTGATTTATAATAAATATATTATTTTGGTCTTCATCCCTAATTCCTAGCATAGAGCTCTAAAACCCTTGTGATTTCCTAAGCAATAGGGGTGCTAGGAGAATCTTGTGTTCTAACATTTGGCCTTTGACCCTGATTCCTGATGCAGAGCTCCTAATCCCTTGGGATTTTCTGGGAGATAGGAGAGTCTTTTGTTCTATTAAGGTAAGTCTTGGTGGAGGCTTCTGTATGGGGCTGGTCGCCAGAAAGACCAAACTATGATTAGAAGCTTGGAAATTTCAGCCCCACCTCCATGCTCCAGAAAGAATAACAGATCATCCCTATGTAATAAAGCCTCCATAAAAATTTCTCAACTCCAGGGGACTGGAGAGCTTACAGGTTGCCAAACACAGGGAGGTGCTACAGGGTGGCTCACCTGTGGAGTACAGGGAAGCTTGTCACCCCTTCATGCATACCCTGCCCCATATACCTCTTCATCTGGCTATTCCTTTGTATCATTTAAAATATCCTTTATAAAAAAATAAGATAAAAAATAAAATAACCTTTATAATAAATCAGCAGTAGTAAGTAAAGTGCTTCCCTGGGTTCTGAGAGCCATTCTAGTAAATGATGGGGCACAAGGAGGGAGTCCTAAGAACCCCCAATTTACAGCTGGTTCATCAGAAGTACCAGAGGCTTGGTCTTACAAATGACATCCAAAGTGGAGTCAGTCTGATAAGACTGACCCCTTAACCTATGGGATCTGACTCTAATTCCAGGTAGATGGTAAAAGAATTGAATTGAATCATAGGATACCTAGCTAGTGTCAGAGATTAGTCAGTGTTGGAAAAACTCACACATCTGGTCCAAGAAGTGTTCTTCTGTGTTGAGAGTTTGGTAGGAGAAAAATGTTTGTTTTTCCCTATTATACATAGTACCAAACAAACAAAGTGCTTTCCTATCTTACTATCTACAATGTTGTGCCATCTAAATGATTTTCCTTGAACCTGACCACTTAATATAGACTGGCATCAAAAATATCAGGGTATAAATGACAACTCCTGGCACTTCCTAGCCAGCTATCCTTAAGCACATTAACCTCTCTTAAACCCGAGCCTTGTCTATACAATGGGGATCAGAGTATGTTCTACTCTAGGTGTTGGTGGCAGGAGAGATTGTATGCAAAGCGCTTAGCTTCCTAGACAGTGGGTACTAGCAGGTTGTTAGACGACCACACCACCCTCTAATATGCACATGCTTTTTTATACTTAAGAGCTTCCCATTATTGTAGCCCAGGCTACAGAACTCTCCTCTCTTCCTAACAATAAAAATTATCTGTTCCTTTATAATCTGAGATTTCTGTTTAGAGCAAATCTAAGCAAATGTCTCCCATAGTTTACATATGTACAGGTTACCCATGGTTTTCAATAAAAAGCCATCTTCTGAATGAATAAGAATTTTCCCAAAGGAAGAATATTAATAGTTGGCATTTTAGGCATCATAAATAGTAGAAAACAAGATTTTTGGCTAAAAGATAAGGGTAAAATAGGCTGTTGGTGACTCTCAAATCACATCACACCTGTGCATAAGGCCAAGGCTAAAGATTGGTACAGAATAGCTCCAAATGAAGATCTAAGCAAAGGGTAGCAACTAAGACCCTCAAGCCAGCCCTATTTTTATGAATAACAGATTGGAACATAGCCTCGTTCATATTGCCTATGGCTGCCTTCCCAAGACAAAAGCAGAGGTGAGTAGTTGCAATACAGACTGTATGGCCCGCAAACCCCCAAATATTTACTAACTGGTCCTTGACAGAAAAAGTTTGCCAATCCCTGCTAAGTCACAGTTCTCACACTTGTATCCACTTGTGTGAACCAAGTGATAGATACACAGGTGTCATATTTTATAGTGAAGGAGAAACTTAGAAAAAGTGCATTCCATTAACATGAAAACCAAAAAAAAAGTAAAATAACAAAGAAAATAAATAAAAACCTGTGGCTACGCAAAAGGAGTAGATTAATCCTGGAATACTAACTGACTCTTACATGCTTATTTCCTCCTGTAAGACGCTTCTAAATGCACTTCTTGAATTGACGTGTTAAAAATGGATTGATGTCTATGTCAACAGCAGGGCGATAAAATAAACTTGCCTGCTTAAACCCTTAGCTTTCTCATTTAATAAAACAACAAACAATACAAAATGCATTTTCAGAGGTGCTGAGCTTGGTCCGGACCTTAAGATTGTCAACGTCACATTAATGAAACTCAATTCTAAAGAAAATTCATCTTGAACAAAGGCCATTTTTTATACAAAGTGGGTGAAAGAAACATACCTATTAATATTTATAAAACAATTTTCACCATCAAAAGCACATTGTTACATGCTTGATAGATTATACAAATGTATTTTCCTTCTGAACGAATATCAAAGAAAGCTGTGGTACTTATATGCATAGGGTGTTTTGTTGTTTTGTTTAGTGGCGTGAGATTCTGTGAGCTGCTAATTCAACAATCTCGATAGAAAACATGACTGGCAGTTAGAGGCCTCTGACCCTAGAATTTTAACAGAAGAATGTGTCACAGAATTAAACAAAAGAAGAATACATTTCAGAGGGGAAACTTACACATAAAAGGAACATAAAACAGCAGGAAATAAGACTATCATAATTAGTTTGAAAAATAATCTGTCTTCAAGCAACGTACTGCGTTTGATTTGTGATAAATAACCATAATGTACTATTGAAACACGCCTTGCCAAAATGGCCTTAAAATGCTGATACTTTCAAATTAGTCCCACTTCCCATTAAATATTGATGTTCTGAGAGTTGTATACTTTTTAGAACTTTTTTTTAGTGGCTGTGAAAAGAGAAAATAGGTATGGGGTGGGTAGGGGGGTTGGGGGAGGTAGAGAACCGAAAATGTTCTTGAAAATAGAGTCTTGTGTATAAAGACAGAAACAGAGAAACACCCACCAACAACATGGGCACTTGCTAACAAGAAGCAACGGGGTGGTTATTTAGGGAAATCAATCCGAAGAAAGAAAGGAATTTGATGTGCCAGTTAACTGTGGATCACCCAGCTTTAATTCTCACGGAATCTTAGCCAGATAGTCACTGCTTCAAATTGGATCTCATTCCTTTGGCCCAGTGAATGGATTTCAGCTTCCAACTGATGAAGATGCCCCAAAGCAAGAATTCTTAATCTCTAGACTATGGACAGATTGGGTGAGGTCGTTCTCTGTGAACAGGGACCATCCTGTGCGTTGTAGTTTAGCATTATCCACGCCAGTAGCATAGCCTCCAAGTTGTGATGACTAAAAATGTTCCCTGGGGGACAAAATGCCCACCCTTCCCATGGAGTACAACTTGCTTTAAAGACATCAGAAAAAGGAGTCTGTGTACAGATAGAGCTGGCTGAAGGTGAGAAGAAATATGACATGAAATTTCACAGTGGCTAGCAAAATGAATGAATGAATACATGAATGCGCAGGTAGATAAATAAATAAATAATGATAAAACATTGCTTCTTGCTTGGCTGCAGAATTAATGAATGAATTGGCACTGCATTTGGACAAACAAGGAAAATAACGATTAATTTCTATTGACTAAGTAACAGTTTATTTTTGTTTCAATAAGGTTGCATCTTTCTGGTAGGCATGTTTTGACTCAGTGTCCCTTCTTCCATTAAGAAACTGTATGTCTCCTATACCATATGATTCTTGCTCAGTGGCTGGCATGGGCATAGACATGTGACCCAAGCAGGGTCAATGAGAATCATTTGAAGGGATTTATGGGGCTGCTGAGGGAGAGTTATGGAGCACTGGGAGCCATCTTTGCTGCCAGCTTCTGAGAGCCTGGCTGAGAAAGAAGCCAATTTGGAGGCAAGCAGGGCTGGAGAACCAGCAAATCCCTGATTCTCTTCAGGCCTTAAGCCAGTCCACACCTTAGACTTCCCTGTTACAGGAATATAACTTTTTAACAAAAACAAAGCTAATATAACTTTCTGTCATTAGCAACCATTATAATCCTAGCTAAGAGTCACTAAACTACATTGCAGTTAGTAGTGTCAAATTATATTTTTTGAATCAGATTATTAATCACATAGGAAAAAAGAGCTCTTGGACTGCAGTTCTTTCTCCGTGTCAAAAATTCCCTATGGGTGACTTAGCAGCATAGATGTTATCAAGGCCCTTGTTCTTCACTCAACACGGCATCACTTGTTGTACAAATATATGAACAATAACCTGAATTATTAAAAATAGCACTCACTGACCAATGGAAGGTCAAAAAAAGTTTCCTACAAAGAGGTGGGTACAGGCCAGGCACAATGGATCACACCTGTAATCCCAGCACTTTGGGAGGCCGAGGTGGGTGGATCACCTGAGGTCAGGAGTTCGAGACCAGCCTGGCCAACGTGGTGAAACCCCGTCTCTACTAAAAATACAAAAATTAGCTGGGCGCGGTGGTGGGCGCCTGTAATCCCAGATACTCGGGAGGCTGACGTAGGAGAATCACTTGAACTCGGGAGGTGGAGGCTGCAGTGAGCTGAGGCTGTACCACTGCACTCCAGCCTTGGCGACAGAGTGAGACCCTGTCTCAAAAATAAAAAAGAAAAAGAAAAAGAAAAAGAAACAACAACAACAAAAAAGAGCTGGTACAATGTGATGCTGAGCTCCTTAAACTTTTAAATTTAAAGAATAATTATTAAATCAAAGTTTCAATGTGGAAATTTTACCGTGAAATGTTCTGCTACTACTGATCTAAACAGAACTAACAAATACTCAGATTATAAATATTAAGATTATCAATATTGCTAAAATATAAATGACTGCTTTTACAGCTTCTAAATAAAAGATAGCTTGAGGGGACTGTGATAATGATGAAGATCAATTTGTACATTTGGTCATTAATCACCATTTCCTAATTGGGTTTAATTTGACTACTGCTCATTAGAGTTATAAACCAACATACTCATTTAATTGTGATTATAATTCAATTGCTGAACTTTTATGGTACAATGAACAAATTAATAACTAAAGATAATTTTGCTCTTAAAAATATCACATAAGACTTATGTTTTAATGAACTGTATATAATGTTTTATGATGATTCCCTTAAAAAAAAATCTCAAGACTCTTCCATTCTCTTAATAATTAAAAATCAAACTTCAGACTCATGACGTTTTATAAACACAGTCTAAGAAAAGGTTCCCATACCCCTGTTCCCTGAAGCGAGAACACAGCTCGTGACTGCTTCCCAAAGGGTTGAATAAAAAATGTATTGCAGCCATTTTTATCCCACTCCATAGCTACAGCTACATTTCCATTTTTCTTCATGCAAAGCAACCAGGCTGCTTGTGTATACTAGTTGAAAAAGCAATATATGACCTTTAAGAACTTTTGTTAAACCTTCTCCTTCATTTCTTGGATTTAATTGTCAACATGAATTCTGACTGGTATTCCCTGCCAAACTGGAGACTACTTCTAGGTCATGTACGTGAAAGCAAATAAGTAGTTTAAATGGGAGAAAGTAGAAAAGGCAGGTAGCTGCAGTTGAGTCTGGAGTATCAGAATCAATATGCACGCTGGACTCAGAGGGACATGGGTTCAAATCCCAGCTTTTGTAACTTCTGACTAGCCCCTGGGACAGTCACAATGGTTTCTCAATCCTCTATAAAATGGGGATAACAACTCCTAATTTTTCAGGGTTGTGGTAAACAATATGAAAGAATATAGGTATAAGCTTATCACAGTGTCTGGCATATAAGCTCAAGAAACAGCTTCTTCCCCTTCCTTTCTTAGCTTTATAAAATACACACAATTTGATAGCCATAGCAACTTTAAAAAAAATATTTATGAATAAAGGTAGCTTGTTTATAAATGAGCAAGCACAGATTTCTATCGGATGGTCATCTGTATAAATCATGAAATATATTATCTTCAATGGCTTCCTAAACATAAAATCTTTGCTTGTTCTCGTCTGAAATCTATACTATTCCTGGGCTACTCTGAGACTACCTGAGAAGAGGAATTTCATTTTATGAATGTTAGGGACTAGCCTATTTTGTATCTGACACTGCATGCATACTCATATATGATTTCATCTTATTTTCACAACACTCTATGAGCTAGACATCATTTCTACCACTTATTTGATTGAAAAGATTGAAAAAAAAAAAAAAGACCTGAAACTTAGGCAGGCTAAATAACTTGCCCAGATCCGTAGCCAAAACATGGCAGATACAGAATTTATACTTAGGCCTCTCTGGGTTCGAAGGAAATGATAGTGTAGTTTCTCTGAGTCTAGCTACAGAATCTCTGAAATGTGCTAAGGAGAAAATATTGTCTCATCCGTCTTGGTCCAAAAGTTGATGTGTTTACACATAATGATTCACCCCAGTTAACAATTCAATGCAAATTACTATTTACTGACTGTAACAAGCTAGACAACATGCAAGACACCGGAGGTGAAATGTACTAAAAAAGAAAAGGTTCATGGTGCTTACAGTCTGGTATCCCTATCCTATCCACCTGCCATTCCACTGTTTTGACAGCAAAAGCTTGTGAATTTGTGTGTAGAACTCCACTTTACCCCTTACCACACACACATTTACAAGCTTTTGCTATCAAATTAATAAGAACTTATGGAATATTTGCTGTATGCAAGAAACAGTGCAGTGGTGGTAGGTACTGATATATAAAAGTTATTTATACTCTACAACTACCTGATGGATAGGAGAAACCTTCACCACAAAAATGCCACCTCCTCCTGCCTGAAGCAGAAACTGCTCTCCAAGTAAGGTGAAAGAGTTCAACTGGGGGGGACTTGGGGCTTTACCAAGGTGATATAAATCCAGCCCAGAACACAAGGTGAAATTATATACAGATTTAGGCAAACTAAAGACGTTCGAAAAGTTCCAGTTCCATAAAGGCATATGCCTTCATTACACCCAAGTGTGTGGCTCCCATTTCTACACAAATCTTTACCTTAGTAGCAGCAGTGATGGGCCTAAAAAAATAAGGTGGAGAGAAAGAGGTGAACGAATGTTTCTTTCCTTTTATTATTTATTATTATTATTATTATTTTTGTAGAGACAGGGTCTCAATATGTTACCCAGGCTAGTCTCAAAGTCTTGGCCTCAAGTGATCCTCCCGCCTTGTCCTCCCAAAGTGCTGGGATTACAGGCATGAGCCACCACACCAAGCCTGAATGTTTTTAAGTAAAACAAGCAGTAGCTTCCTTAGAGGCTTGGCATTTGGCTACAAACAAACCTAAGTGCTGAAATGTTCAACTGCATCATGGGAGCATTTCAAACTATGGCAGAAATTAAATTACTGAAAGAAATTTATGCAAAGCTGCTGCTACAGTCTTTTGTGCAATTTATAGTTTGCATAAATAATTATAATACATTCATTTGTTTTCTCAATTCTTTTTTTTTTTTACCTTGTCCTTCTGGAGTTTCACCAAAGGGATTCACTTCCACCTGAGTAGCATCAATTTTCAGGAAGAGATTATACAGCTTCGTAATTTGATCTGCAGCCTAAATGTGATCAAGTGAAATAGAATTACACCAAAGCAGTAAAAGAAAATTTATTTTGCTGGATTAATGAAACCTTAAAAATAGCAAGTTATGTCTTTATTTTCAGTTAGGTTTTCTGAAGGGAAAAACAGAAAAGCATAATTATTTTAATTTCCACTGCTATTCATTAAAAGGAATTGCTCAGCTCTCCTCTAGACACCAGAAGAGACCATTATCAAGAAAAGAAAATATTTTCAGTACGGCCTAAAACGTTGTTAATCTTTTTGTAAATTATCATGTCTCTATTAGCAGAGTTATGCTGCAATATAAATTACAATCATTAATACAAACAAGCTCCATTTAAGTAAAAGGTAAACATGATTTTGAGAGTTTATAATGACTAGGTTTTCCTTATTGTGCTGAAATAAAACAGTTATTATATTCATCAATCCAACCCATAATCTGTGAAACAACAATTACTGAGTGTCTAATGAAAATTGTTGCAAAACAGGAAGATGAAAGTGCTTAATAGTGTAGTTACTGAACAGCACAAGTTCAAACTGAAAATAGCTTGTCCCAAAGGCATTAACCACAAAGGGCAAGAATATCCAAGGTTGCCCTGTTATGCCCTGACTTCATTTTTCTCACCTCTGCTTGAAATTCACTCATTCATTCATTCATTCTTTTCAACCAACATTTCTCCACTGCCTATGACACAGCAAGCTGGTATCTTGTGAGCTGGCGCTTGAAATAAGAGCATGAATGAGCCATGCCCCTACCCTGGAAAGCTCCTGGCAATAACAAAAGGAGCATGTGATGCACAGAGCAAGAGGGTGGATCGTGGAGAAGAATTAGGTATCAGTCTCATTCCCAGCTCCATTTTCCAAGCCAAAGTTTTCCCACTGCCACATTTCACTCATTGTGCCAGCCTCGGATTACTTGCAGCAGATCCGTTTTCAGTTCTCCAACTCTACTCTGTATATCAGAGAAGGTGACTCTTACAGGCTGAGTTTTCTAGGTTCCTGGGTCAGCTGGTTTCCAGCTGGGGTCAGCCAATGGCAAGCAGTGGTGAGAGATGGAGGTGGGAAGAAGGGAAGAGCCAGGGTACTTCCACTCCTCTCTTTCTATCTGGGCAGCACCTCCTCCTCTGGCTGTTGCTCCCACTGGAGAAGCCCACCAGGGCTCTAGCTTCTGTATACAAGGTCCAGTAACACCACTGCCTCATTTTTGTTCCTGGAGCATGTGGTTGGATATGCTTTAGGTTGCCTTTCTGTCAACTCTTAAAGTACTCAGCTCTTGCAGCGCCTATGAAACACATCCCTAAAGTAAATCCCCACTGGTGTAAATATTGCAAGTGGTTCCAGATTTGACTGAAGAACTCCAGATTTAATTCATGCTATCTTAATGTATTTTATAAACACCTACAAACATTTTTAAATCCAAATTTGAGGGCTAGTAGATATAAACGAACCCACATAATGAGTATGATTAAATATTTTTAATATTAAATATTTGCATAGGTAGATAATACATGTATATGATACAAAATTCCCGAAGAACTTAAGGGTTTTCCCTGATTGTACCACTCAACCACACAGGCCCCCAGTGGCAGCCAACTCATAAATTTAGCCTTCATATGAGAGACAGTCTATGCCTAACACAGTACGCATTCCTCCTTCATCTGTCTTAAAAAAGCAAACTTGTTCCAATACCTCTTTACTTAACAGAATTTTAGAGACACTTCATCAGCAACACAGGTAGATCAATCATATCTTTTTAATTGACTAAATAATATCTTACTGTATTGATATGCTATAATTCCTTTAACCTTTCACTTAAATAATGACCAACTGCATTGTTTCTAATAGGTTGACATTACAGCACTGCCTTATTTATCTCTGTATATTTAACATACATGTGATTAAACATTTGTAGGATAAATTACCCAGAGTGAAGCAAAAAGGAATGTAGCCATTTTAAACATCAAAAGGTTCTGTTAAATTGTTCTTTTTTTTTTTTTTTTTTTTGAGACCGAGACTTGCAGTGTTGCCAGCCTGGAGTGCAATGGCGCGATCTCAGCTCACTGCAACCTCCACCTGCCGGGTTCAAGCAATTCCCCTGCCTCAGCCTCCCGAGTAGCTAGGACTACAGGTGTGCCACCAAGCCTGGCTAATTTTTTATATTTTAGTAGAGACGGGTTTTCACCACGTTGGCCAGGATGGTCTCAATCTCCTGACCTCGTAATCTGCCCACCTCAGCCTCCCAAAGGTGCTGGGATTACAGGCATGAGCCACTGCGCCCGGCCTAAATTGTTCTTCATAGAAGCTGTCCCTGATTTCCACTCCTAAAAAGTGAAAATTATCAGAGACACTATTTTCCAATTCACAATCATTAGCCATTTGTATCTTTGTCAGTGTGTTAGGTGAAAAAGGGTATCTCACTGGTATGGTTGGGCTCTGTGTCCCCATCCAAATCTCACCTTGAATTGTAATAATTCCCACGTGTTGCAGGAGGGACCCAGTGGGAGGTAACTGAATCATGGGGACGGGATTTTCCCATGCTGTTCTCATGATAGTGAGTAAGTCTCACGAGATCTGGTGGTTTTATAAAGGGGGGGTTCCTCTGCACAAGCTCTCTTGCCTGCCACCATGTAAGAAGTCCCTTCACTCTTCCTTCGTCTTCCACCATGATTGTGAGGCTTCCCCAGCCATGTGGAATTGTAAGTAAATTAAACCTCTTTCCTTCATAAATTATCCAGTCACGGGTATGTCTTTATTATCAGCGTGAGAACAGACGAGTACACTCACATATAGTTTTAATTTGAATTTATTTTATTATGAATGAGTTTAGGCATTATTCTATGAGTTTAAGAGACATCTTATTTTTTTTGTGTGAATTTTGCCTATTTTTCTATTGAGATTTTGGTCCCTTATTAATTTATAGGAAGAGTGTGAGTGTGCGTGTGTGGGGGGGTGTGTGTGTGTGTACAAGAGAGTGTTGCTTTGTCACCTAGACTGGAGCGTACTGGCATAATCATGGCTCACTGCAGCCTTGAACTCCTGGGCTCAGATGATCCTCCCACCTCAGCCTTTCAAATAGCTGGACTACAGGCACATGCCACTAGGCTGAGCTAATTTTTTATTTTAATTTTTTCTAGAGATGGGGGTCTCGCTATGTTACCCAGGCTGCTCTTGAATTCCTGGTCTCAAGCAATCCTCTTGTCTCAGCCCCTTTAACATTTACCTTTTGAACATGCTTTTGTTACTTTTGCCACATGGAAATTTCACAATAATGTCACTCTTATATGGCTTCTGGCTTTGTGTCAGACTTTTAAAAGGCTAGTCCCATTCTGAGAGTATTTTTAAAAATTCTCCCATTATTTTTTCTAGTATTCTTTATAATTTCTTCCATTTTTTTAATCCAAATAAAATTTGAGTTAAAGTGCGAAGCCAGCAAATACTTCATTGCGGAATATTTTTTGTATTTTAGGGGGTTTTCTAGGTCATCAATGTGACCTTGCAATGTGAGTTGCATGGGGCAGGCATCTTATGTATCCTGGGCACCTTGGCATCCACTGTAGTGATACAACCTCTGCAGAGTCAACACTCGATAAATATCGGTTGAATTAAAGATTAATTCAGTTCTAAGTGGGGACTACATAATAGAAATAACTTCTGGGTACACATATATATATATATGTATAATCTAATCCAGCTACTTCAAAACTTCCTTTTTAAAAAATTGTGATAAAATATACAAAACATAAAATTCACCATATCTCAACCATTTTTGTCTACACAGTTCTGCAGGGTCAAGTTGGTACATTCACATTGCTGTGCAACCAATTCCTAGAACTTCTTCATCTTCCCTCACACTCTGTATCGCTAAACAAACTCCCGTTCTTCTCTTCCCACTGCCTCTGGCAACATCATTCTACTTTGTGTCTATAAATTTGACTATTCTAGATAGCATCTCTCTCTCTGCCTCTCTCTCCATCTCCATATATATATATATTTTCACACACACACACCCCCCTCTATATATACGCACATATATATCTCTCCATATATATCTCCATATATATGTATATAGATAATACGTATAGATATATATAGATACCAGATATATAGAGATATTAGAGATCTCTATATACATACATACATAAAATAAAAGATATGCATATATATACATACACTAGATACCTGTGGAATCATCCAGTGTTTGTCTTTTTGTAACTGGCTTATTTCACTTAGCATAATGTCCTCAAGCCCCATCCATACTGCAGCATGTGTCAGAATCTTCTTTTACAAGGTTCAGTAAAGTTCCATTATAGTATATACCACATTTTGTTTATCCATTCATCCACAGATACACACTTAAATTGTTTCAGAACTTCTTAAGCCTACACCAATTTTGCTTAGTACAAGGCTGCATTTTCTGCACATTAATCCCATTGTAATTATACATTAGCACAGCATTTTGGGGATATTTTCTGTTTTAATTTTTACTGTTGCACAAAGGCAGACCATAATTTTTTTGAGCAAGACTAAAACATAATCTGATCTTGGAGACATCTCCAAACCAAGCTGGTTCTCCCTTGTAGATCTCACAATGACAAACCCTTGTAAGATGTCTTATTCCAGAGGCTATTCACTAAATGGTTATAAGGGCTAAGCAGACAGAATGTGTGTGACCAGGTGTAACAGGGAATGGCATGGCATGTGGCAAGTTGAGATTAGTATTCCCACTTTCTACAAAAGTTAAAAATAAGCACAGGTCAAAGAAAACATTCTCCTGGTCAACTTGCAGTCAGTCGCTTACTACTGCCATCTATTTCTCAGCTCATAACCACTGCGTACAAAAAGTTTTTCTGCACTTTT
The DNA here is from genome assembly GCF_000001405.40 of Homo sapiens. Taxonomy (NCBI): domain Eukaryota; kingdom Metazoa; phylum Chordata; class Mammalia; order Primates; family Hominidae; genus Homo; species Homo sapiens. The sequence continues at coordinate 67,513,763 of NC_000003.12, forward strand.
GCCATCAATTGTTATTTTGTCTGTTAAGTAATTTTTAAAAATTAAAATTCGTAAAATCAAATATACGTACATGAAAATCTGACAAGTTTATAAAAATCTTTAAAAATGTCTCAAAAGGAGCATAAGGAGGAATGGCCTCAGAATCGTGCAGGCACAGTTGTGCGCTGCATCGCCAAGATGCCATTCCCAAAGTATACTCCATCGCGCCTGGCCACTCCACCCTCGACCCTCTACCCAGCGGAATACGACATATCCCTGGAAACCCAGCAGGCGCAAGCCGAGCGGTTGGCCATAAGAGCACAGCTGAAACAGCAGTACTTGCTTCAGTACAACGACCCTAACTGCTGACGGCTCATTGAAGATCCTGCCTTGATTTGTTGGACCTATGCAAGATCAGCAAATGTCTATCCTAATTTCACCCCTAAAAACTCACTCTTGGGAGCTTTGTGTGGAATTAGGCACCTGTTCTTCTGGTATGATGTATTCAAAACTGACAGGAATAGGAAAGAAAAACTTATCCAGGAAGGAAAATTGGATCAAACATTTAACATCTCATATTAAGTCTGGCAATGATGACTATGTGTATTCTTGCTGAAATAAATCGTCTATTAATCAAACAAAAATCTCAACAGGTTAAGAATTTTAAATATTTTTCTTGCATTCCAGAAATTATCATCAATATTCACGTACGCCTCTCAAATCTAGCCAGAAGTACAAACCACTTCAAGAGGTGTTAGTGATCTTGCACTGACTTGGACCATCCGATCTTTTCATCAGCCTAAACCTTAGAGGCACATGTTGACAATTCGTGGCACTCATGTTTTCAGAAATGAACAGTATAGATGATAATTAAGACACACTTGACAAACTTGTAAGTTTCAGTCATACAATAGTCACCCTTTATCCTCAGTTTCCCTTTCTGTGGTTTTAGTTACCCATGGTCTACTGAGGTCCAAGTTATTAAATGGAAAGGACAAAATTATGGAATAAGATCCTTGGATGGAACACAGCACTAAAGTCACTGACGGATTACAACCTCTACAGCCACACTTAGATGACCTAAAAAGAAAGAGACAAACTTCTAATTATGATGTTCTTCTAAAAGGTTGTGGTGAAAAACCTTCAGCTATCCAGGATCCCTGACCATTGACATCATCTGTTCCTGACATCCAGCCATTGACACCCATGGTTTGATGATCCAGGATCATCCAAAGTAGATGTCCCTCACGAAGTATTGCCAGGAGGTCATGAGAAGCCCAATGCTACATCGCAATGCTCACATCACTCACCCCACGTCTTACCATGTAGACATTGCATCATCTCACATCATCGCAAGAAGGGTGAGTACAGTACAATGAGGTATTTTGAGAAAGAGACCATATTCACATCACTTTTATTACAGTATATTGCTATTGTTCTATTTCATACTGTTGTTAATATCTTACTGTACCTAATTTATAAGTCAAAATTTATCCTAAGTATAAATATCTAGAATATCCAGAAAAAAAGAGTATATATAGGGTTTGGTAGTAGGTAAGCTTCAGGCATCCACTGGAAGTCTTGGGACGTATCCTCCACAGATAAGGGGGAACTACTATATTAAGCTTTCCTATGTCTTAACGTTTTTCAACAAATTCTCACAGAAAGAGACTTTGGTTGGGAACAAACACTGGTAATTTTTATGTAAAGCAAAGTATCATCTTTATTTTTGTTATGTCTAATATTCATCACATTTTAGAGACAACAGGCATGAGTCACAGGAAAGATATTAATAATTTTATAAGACTATCATTTTATATGATATTCAACCATGAGTGAGGTACCTCCAAATGCCTAAACCACATCCTAGATGAAAATTAAGTAACTTAACTTTCAAAGTCACGTTGAACCTAAGGTACCTCTAAGATACTATTTCCTTAGGAAAAGATCATTGATGATTGTTTAAATGTTTTCCCTTCTACACTGTCCCATCTGCTCATTGTACACTGGCCCTCTAGAGCATTTCACTAATCCCCACAGCTTGAGCAAGCCCCATAAAGCAGAGATTCCCAAGCCTACAACTCTAATGCACAGCTTTCCCTGGGATCCCAAGCCATATATCCCTTCTACTGTAGAAATACACTCAGGTGTCCCTAGATGAACAACTTCCAACATGTCTACAGCTGAGATCAACCTCTCTCTCCCTCTGCCCGCTGCCCCCTCCCCCACTCTCTCCTTCACATTCCTTTATCCGTCCCTCTTCCTGTATCCTCTCAGCCAGCAGGCAGATATCTACCGGTCTGTGAGCCCCTGAGGAACAATGGTTATTTTTCATTGTCTCTTTTCCCCAAGGCACAGCAGACTGAGCAGCACCCTATCAGTGCTCATTCCAAGCTGCTGAGAAAATGAAGATTTAAAGCCTTTCATGGAGTTAGCAGTGAAAAAAGAAAAAAACAAATTAAAACATTTTATTTCCTTTCCTCGATAAATTAATTCAAAGGTATACTGACAATATGGCCACTTACTTATCCCTCAGTTCTCACATATTCGTCTTCCTTCCATAGGTAACTCATTTAAAACCTAGAGTGTTTCAGGTACCAGGAAAACAAGAATAAGCCATTTAAGAGCTGTAAATAACTCTTAATTTTCTCGTATAATATGTAGTGAGGGGGCAGTATCTTGTGATGTACATTATACTGTTATTAACTTCTCTAGAACTCTCTATTATGTTCACCTCCTGAGCTTTTAAATATGTGGTCAGCAGATTTTGCCCACTCCAGATTTATTTATCTGCCATGAAAAGCCACCTATTGCTGAGCCTCTAGGAACTTCTTCAAAGTGGACACCTAGAAGTGTTGTTTCACCTAGTCATGCACATGACAAATGTTTCTTGGGCAATAAAAATAGATGCCAAGCACTTTGCCAGCTGCTGGCAACACAGCAGTGAGTAGGATGGACAAAGTCCCTGCCGTGGTAAAGATTAGGATCTAGCAAAGGTGACTGCAAATAAATAAGAGAAATATACAGATGTCCAAAGTGATATGGAGGAGGCAGACAGGGTCACTGTGCAACTCTGGAGCTGACTGCCAGACAGTGCAGCTAGACCACAGTGGCTGTATGGAAAACGGGCTCTTGGTGACCACCACTGCTACAGGAGAAGCCCCTTAATAAACATCAAATGAATGGCTAATGTAGCTGGTATCCTCATTCTCAGGAGGTGAAACCAACCACTGTAGCACATATTCAGGAATCTTCCAGGATCTTCCTTTCAACAGATCACTTTCCTGGCATCTCTTTGCTAGTCTCAGAAATGGCAATTAGTTCCTCTAACTGTCCATCGAATCCTGGCCCTTTCTCTCTCATCCTGAGGTTTAGTTCCAGATGACCCTGTTCCATTCTACCATCTTCAATCTTTTGCTTTCAAAGTGAGCCTTTATTCATTTTCAAGTAAGTGGTTTCCCTTCATTTAAGCATATATATTTTTTAAAACCTTATTCTGTTTTATCCCTCTTTGACTTGCCTACTGTTGCCATTAAACTTCCAGAGAGAGTCAATCAAAAGAAAAAGACAAGACAGAAAGAAAAGAGTGCATCATGTACTGTCTTATGGGAATAGTGCTGCCCAACCAAATTAAAGGACATACTCTGTAACCTTTTCATAAAGCCCCAGGCCAGAGAACATACACACATGCACACATACACACAATCTAGGGCCATTAAGGTGGCCTCTCTGAGTAACAGAGGAAGGAACAAGTAAGTTTATCTGATTTAGCTGTGGGACTAGGAAGCTTGCCCCACTAGACACATAATCAGGTGCCATGGGCTGGAACAAAGGCAGAGCAGGGGACGATACTAAGACAGATTCTGTCCCTCAACAGCTCTGAGGCCAATGTTTTGGTCTTTGAAGCCAAGGGATATTATTACAAAATTGGCATATTTTAAGCTGTTCTCAATAAAATATCAAGTTTATGCCATCAATATTCATTTCAAATGCCCATTAGCTATGAAAGAATAGCAATTAGCTAAATAACATGTATTATTAATATTAATACCATTAAGAACAGACCTTTATGGAGCAGTACAATAAGGACTTTTACACATTATTCTACTGAATCCCCACAATAAGCCTCTCGGGAGTTGTCATCATTCCCATTTTATAGATGATGAAACTAAAGTTCGAATGAGCTGTATCACATGCCTGCCAGGTGGCTAAGTACCAGCAATGCTACAGAAAAAATAGAGATTACCATCTATCATGAAGTGTATGTGTCCACATGCAATACACATGCACACACATACCAAAACACATTCAAAGACACATCATAAACATCCTCTTTTAAAACATCAGGGAAATATTTTTCTTCATCATAAACAGCTGGAGGAAAAAATTATAAAACAATAAATAATCCTGTTTCCTGGTAATCACAAACACTAGAGGCAATGAAGCAAGTTCCCAAATGTTTTCTGAAACAAGTCAGACACACCATCCCCCAATGGCTTATATACCTGGCTTTTCAAAGGCCCAACGAAGCCTAGATTTTCGGCCATCCGCTGAGCTTGGCTGTCCTTTATTCCTTCAAAAATGTCAATTTGCTCCTAGTAAAAATAAATCAAATAAACAAAATTCAGACAGTCAACTGAGAAGATTTACAACCTCAAAAGAAAATGCTTAGTATTTATTTGCAAATGAGTAATTAAAGTGTGGCATCTATCCAGAGATCTCTGAGCAGGGCTACCGCAGATGCCTGTAGGGTATGTTTTAATTAGCAGACCATCTATAAAAAAGCCCTTCCAAAAACTATATAATTCTTCATGGTGGCATGCTGACAAGAAAATCTGATGCCAGTTTTCACTTTTAATTACTATACAGATGGCATTGATGAATATTTAGTCAGTTAATTTTTTGACATCTTTTGGAAGGTTTCCAAAGTAAGGTTTTCCTGCCTACTAGTAGTTAAGTTTAAAGCCTGTCATAGATAGGTTAAATATTACCTTATGATTTAAACACTCTATTGATGATAATTATTACTGTTACCTTAGCTCTACAAAATGATATTGTCTCAAAGACACCGAGCACTGTCACTATACATTATTTCATGCATTCTCTTAACAAATGGAATGGCCTGCTTTAAATAATGTGAACTTTGAAAACAGCTAGGTGTTGTTGGTAAGTCTGCATATAAAGTCTCAATTCAGTTTCCAAGGTAATTAACTTATTATATAATATTAGTGAAAATATTTTAAAACCAATCACTGCAGTATGAGTACAGCAGGTCTTCAAATAACGTTACTTCATTCAAGGTCGTTTTGTTATAAGGTTGAGAAAAAAAAAAATCAATTCCCAGCCAAGGCCACTGTCTCTGTGTAGTCTACACATTCCCCTCTTGTCTGAGTAGGTTTTCTCTGGGTCCCCCGGTTTTCTCCCACATCCCAAATCTGTACATGTTAGGTCAACTGGCATGTATACACAGTCCCAGTCTGAGTGGGTGTGGTGTGTAAGTGTGCTCTGCAATGGGATGGTGTCCCATCCAGGGTGGGCTCTTACCTTGCACCCTGTGCTCCAGCCATCAGAGACCCTAAGCTGGAAAAACTGGATAAACAATTATCTTACTTGTTTTTATGAAATCTTTCTGAAACGTACATATAGCTCCTATTTATTTTAATGTGTAACATTAGAAGTGTGCTGGTCTTTATTTAGGAGTTGAGTGATGTTCTGTGAGCAGAAATATGCTATAGGAACTTAACTCTTGTTTATATCAATTAGCCTATGTATGGTAACATTGGTTTCCTTATACATCGTTTCCATTCAAGTCGCAGTTTCCAAGAACCTGTTGAGGATGCTAAGTGGGTGTTTATTGTACATTATTTAGACAAAGAGATTTAAGAAATAAAATCTCCCCTTCTCAAAGGGAAACAAAAAAATCATTTTCTAAAAGAAATAATGAATGTTTCTGGTGGAAAATTGTAATGTAATTTTGACCCCAAGAACCCAGATTAAAAACTTCAATTTTAGTTCTGAAAACTTATGTTTTTCTCCTCATAGCTGACGTAGGTTAAGAAGCACTTTATACACATCACCTCATTTAATCCTTATAATCTCACATGGTAGAAATCACCCCATGTTCATTTTACTGATTTAAAAATGAGGTTTGGAGACTTTGAGAAACTTGTGCTCTGATTAAATTTGACCTCAGATCTCTGACTTGAAACTAATCTTAATATCAATAAATGAGTCAAGATTTCAAGGATTGAAAAAAACTGATAGAATCTAGACTTCATAAAGATTCTAGTTTACATCAAGAGTACTGAGAGAACTCAAGACAGTTTCTAGTTCACATCTGCTAAAAGAGAATTCATTCATCTCCTAGGAGAGAATTTCCGGATCATATATAATATTAAATGAAAGAGAGTTAACCATAAGAAATGAAAATATAGCAGTCCTCTCCCATTGGTTAATTCTTGAGGAAGATTGGATGGAAAGGAATCAGGGAGGAAGAAAAGGCAGGAAGAAGTAAAGAAGGAAGGGTGGGAAAAGCAAAGATAAAAAGTCCTTGAACACTGAATACCTTGATTCCACCCAACTTTCAACTGGATACCCAGAAAGAAAAAGGGCTCAGCATCTTCTTACCTTAAATTGTAGAGACAGATTTAGTGCTCCTGGCCTTAGACTCCCCATTAAATATTTAACAGCTTCTACAATAACAATCAATTAATAGCAGGTAGCCCGGAATTTAAACATACCTTAAAAATGAGCTCCGGGTTTGAAGCAGCCACCTCTTCAATGTCGACGCCCCCCTGGGGGCTGCCCACCAGCACGGGGCCATTGCAGGACCGGTCCATCAGAATTGCCAGGTAGGTTTCTCTGGAAATATCCAAGGCTTCAGCAACCATCACCTACCACATTAGTGGGAAAGTCAAATTAATTCAGCATTAAGCTGATTTCTACTTGGAAATCTATACAAACTTGCTACACGAATCAAATGGCTTCATTTTCAGGCTCTTACAGCCCAGGGAGTGAGTTTGCAGAGCTTTGAGAGTTCTGCTCTCATGGTGCACACAATGCCCATTTTCACCTCCTTAATTTTGATCCCATTAACTTGTTCGAGTGACAGGTATTTCGTTTGCCTCAAGGAACCTTCCCACTTTAATCTTCTTTTTTGTCCTTCCTCAAGAAACTGTGTCACTTAAGAAATACCCTAGAGAAGTGGCTGTTATTTTAATTTGAGATATTAACAGTACACATATATATTACTACACTGACTTTTCTCAGATTTCACTGGTGGAAAACCAAGCATGATTGCCACAGACGGATTCTTTTACAGTATGTCTGATGCTTCATATGTTTGTGTATTTCTGTCTCTTCGATCACTATATTTTACTTCATTTTATACTTCCTTTTAATTTATAAAAAGAATATTTGCTTGTTCAAAAATAATGCAAACGATACCAAAAATATATAAATGAGAAAGTGAAAGCAGCTTCCTGCTGCACAGCTCTACCTCAAATAAACCCTCGGGCCCCAGGAGTCAGGGCAGATACGAGCCTACCAGGAACCTCCGTGATAACTAGAAAAAGGCACCCCTTCCTCTGGGAATATGTGGTCATTTGCCAGGGCCATGACTAGACAGGGGACAAGTGGGATGGAAGAATGTCATTCAATTCCACAAGTGAGTGGGGACTCACTGCCTCAGCCAGGTGTCCTTTTGCTCTGTAGGACTTGAATTTCATGTAACAGCCCCACCAGGAAAAACCACTGCTGACATTCTAGTCCTTTTCTATGTATCTGCAAGCATTGCAGTAATGGAATAATCCTACATGTGGAAGCACATTATATACAACAGGATGCCTTTCTTTTTTTTAATCTTTTTTTTTTTTAAAAAAAGACAGAGTCTCACTCTGTCACTGAGGCTGTAGTGCAGTGGCACGATCTCAGCTCCCTACAACCTCTGCCTCCCTGCAACCTCTGCCTCCCATGTTCAAGCAATTCTCATGCTTCAGCCTCCCGAGTAGCTGGGCTTACAGGTGCCTGCCACCATGCTTGGCTAATTTTTGTATTTTTAGTAGAGATGGGGATTCACCATGTTGGCCAGGCTGGTCTTGAACTGCTGACTTCAAGTATCTACCTGCCTCAGCCTACCAAACTGCTGGGATTACAGAGGTAAGCCACCACGCCTGGCCTCTTTTTTAAAATCTTAATACTACAACTTAAATATCTTTCTAAGGTCTTCTCTCTTCATTGTGATTACATGGTATTTATATGACAATATTTATTTAACCATGTTCCTGCATTTATTTATTTATTTATCTATTTATTTATTTGTTTATTCATTTTGAGATGGTCTTGCTGTGTTGCTCTCAGGCTGGAGTGCAATGGCACAATCGTGGCTCACTGCAGCCTTGACCTCCCAGGTTCAAACGAATCTCCTGAGTAGCTGAAACTACAGGCACGTGCCTCCATAGCCACTTAATTTTTGCTTTATTTTTTGTAGAGATGGGGTCTTGCTATGTTGCCCAGGCTGATCTCAAACTCCTGGACTCAAGCAATACACTCGCCTAAGATTCCCAAAGTGTTGGGATTACAGGCATGAGTCATGGTGCCTGGCCTGCTGACAGACATTTACATGAACTTCAATTTTCCTAAAATGCTACTTTAGTGAGTATTTTTGTACATGTATCTTTGTTCATTTCTTTTAGTATCCCTGTAGATAAGTATCCTAAAAGTGAAATGTCTAGGTTTTAAACTGTGAATATTTAAAATGTTGATAAGTACTGTCAAAGTGCTTGAGAGAGGTTGTTCCAACTTACGCACCTAACAAGAACAGTGAAAGATATCTTGGATGTTTAAAGAATATAAAAACAATCCCATAAATAATCAGTAATAGATGTGAAAACAATGAAAGCACTAACATTGCTTTTCTTTCTTTTTTTTTTTTTTTTTGTTGAGACAGAGTCTCGCTCTGTCGCCCAGGCTGGAGTGCAGTGGCGCGATCTCGGCTCACTGCAAGCTCTGCCTACCAGATTTACGCCATTCTCCTGCCTCAGCCTCCCAAGTAGCTGGGACTACAGGTGCCCGCCACCACACCCGGCTAATTTTTTTGTATTTTTTAGTGGAGACGGGGTTTCACCATGTTAGCCAGATGGTCTCAATCTCCTGACCTCGTGATCCGCCCGCCTCGGCCTCCCAAAGTGCTGGGATTACAGGCATGAGCCACCGTGCCTGGCCTAATTGTTTTGTATTTTTAGTAGAGACGGGGTTTCACCATGGTCTCAATCTCCTGACCTCGTGATTCGCCCACCTCCGCCTCCAAAGTGCTCGGATTACAAGTGTGAGCCAACGCACCCGGCCACATTGCTTTTTTTACAAGTAGTTTAGTGATGGGTTCCACAAAAAAAAGTTACAGATTAAGTAGCATTAGATTTTAACTACTCAGATACCACAAAAACACTTAAGTTTTAGGTCACATGAAATGGGATAAATATATAATGATCTAAAAAGCTATAATGGAATGAATATAGAACTCCTCTTTTTCAAACTTTTGTTGAATTTACCATTAGTTAAAAATAAAATATATAGGTCTTCATATTGATTTATCAGAAATGGAAGTTCATAAGTATATAAAAACTGTTTCTCAGCACATGGTGTTAGAATTAGCACAGAACCATTCTGATTTCAAGTTGGTTGTTCTCACCAACAATGAAGGTCAAACCATCAGTCAGTGCCTAATTCTCCCAGTCTTCAGGTTGCTTGAAACCGTAAATTCTTTCAGAATTTCTGATTGAGGGGTAGGACAATATTTGAAGCAAAAATACTTAGCCCTATTCTTTCCTTATAAAATACAGTAACAACTTGTCGTTTATAGAAATAACATAAAGTCTGCCTTTCTAAGCATCAACATTAATACAAACATTTTAAGAAATTAAGATAATCATTTCTTCTAAAACTTTCTCTAGAAGAGAAAGCTGTTTTAAGAAATTTGATTGGCACAAAATACAAAATGAGGAGTGTGTTTGGTATATGCTTTCAGGTCTACTGGCATAATACTGTTCATTTTCTAATGCAGAGTTAGTTTAGAGAATAATACTTAATGACTTTCAGTAGTTATTCTTAGAGGCAACACAAAATTATAACTTTTTAGGATAAGTGTCATTCAAGAGTCCTATTCTTAATCTTCAAAAATGTTGACAGACGTGCTCTGTATTCCACCAAATTTCTATTTGTGAAGCCCAGCTACTGTCTGAAACAGCTCTTGCTTCACAGGAATAATGCATGACTCTTTAAGAAAATGTCACCAGGAAAATGATAATTATCAAGAGATAATTCAAGAAATTTTATACAACAAAGACCAGTTTGTTGACATCGTCATGCCTTCCAAATGACCGAGGATGACAGAGTATATTAGGAAGTGTTACAGAGAAATCTAAATGGAATCCACAAACACTCATCCCGGAGCAACTCCATTAGAAACATTTCAAAAGAGCTTCACCTGTGAGTTACACAAAGAATATGTTGACACATCGTCTTTGTGGAGTCCACCAGTATAGAAAGCTTTTTAACTTTCTTTGACCTATCTACTGCTGAATCTGTTTCCTTAAAAATATCATGCTACTGGAATTGTGGTCAGGAGATGAGTGCTAGCGTACAAACTATTTGTAACACACCCATGAACAGAGAAGATTAAAAGTACATTCTCGAATTTTAAATTGATTACAGAGCAGTAACCACTATTGGTACTGAATCCTGGACCGCATGATGAGTAGCACTGTCTCACAGGCCCTAGTACTAGCCCCAGGAATACATAACACATTGGCACAGACTTAGAAAACAAATATCTGATGTGTATAAATGTGTGTATGTGTTTAAATAGCTTCTGAAATAAATTTAGAATCAAAAGGTTCTATAATCTGGGGACTTATACTTTTGAGAAGATGGAGTAGACATGTTTTTCCCTATTCTTCCCGCTAAGTACAAATAAAAGCCTTGGACATATATATACATAAAACTTAAGGTGACTCTGAAAGTTATAGAGAAGAAGGGAGACTAGCTAGGGAGCTTGAGGTCCAAGGAAGCGTATGGTAGTGAGTCTCCTATGTTTTCTTTGGCCTCATAAATCTCAGGCAGGGTGCTGGGTGCTAGAGAAGCCAGCAACCCAAAAACATTAACAGGCACAGACAAATAAATCTCCAGGCTCACATGGTTTCACTAGGGAACTTCACCAAGCATTTAAAAAGAAATCAACACCAATTAACAATGAGCATGTTGGACACTGAAATTAAGAATCCAATGCCACTTGTAATTGCTTTAAAAGAGAACAATGTATGTGTAAGACTGACAAAACATATACCAAACGTATATGCTGAAAACAATACAATGCTGATGAAATAAATCAAAGGAGACCTAAAAGAAGGAGAGACATATCATACTCATGGGTTGCAAGGCTTAACATAACAAAAAACCAATTCCCTCCAAATTCATATACAGGTTTAATAAGATTCCTATCAAAATCTTAGCAAGATTTTTTCGTAAAGATAAAATTGTTCTAGATTGTACATAAAAAGGTATAGGAACTAGAACAGGTAAAACTGTTTTGGAAAAGAAGAATAAAGTGACAAGAGTTATTCTACTCAATTTCAGAATTTATATAAATACAGTAATTAAGACTCTGTGATATTGGTGGCGGGACAGCCACAAAGATCAATGGAACAAAACAGAGAACCCCAAAACAGACCCAAAGAAATATGCCCAGCTGAATTTTGACAAAGATGTAAAAGCAATTCAATGGAGAAAAGATAAGCCTTTTCAAAAAATGGTGCAGGAGTAATTGAATATCATAGCCCTTTTGCCCCTTAAAAAATAACCTTGACCTAAGTCTCACAACTTATTCAAAAGTCAACTCAAAATGGATCACAAACCTAAATATAAAACATAAAACTATAAAACATCTAGAAAAAAACATGAGAAAATTTTTATTATGTAGGGCAACGTAAAGAGGACTTAGACCTGATACTAAAAAGGTATAATCCATAAAGGAAATATTGACGTATTGGACTTCATCAAAATTAAACACTTTTGCCCTGCAAATGACCCTGTTGAAAAAATGAATATATACGTTATATAGTGTAACAGATAATACTTACAAAGCACATATCCAACAGTGGACTAGTACCTAGAATAACTCAAAACTCAATAGTAAAAACATAATCTAATTAGAAAATGGCCAAAAGAAATTTGCTTTGTCTCTTCATGCTGCTGTTACAAAATACCTGAGATTTGGTCATTTATAAAGGACAAAAATATATTGTTTCACAGTTCTGGAGGCTGGGAAGTCCAAGATCAGTGCACCGCCATTTAGTGATATGGCCTTTCTTGCTTCATCCTCACATGGCAGAAAGTGGAAATGCAAAACAGGTCTAAGCTAGTTCCCTTCAGCCCTTTTATAAAGCACTACCAGGGATGTCCAATATTTTGGCTTCCCTGGGCCACAATGGCATAAGAAGGATTGTCTTGGGCCGCACATAAAATACACTAACACTAACAATAGCTGAGCTAAGAAACTAAAATTGCAAAAAAAATCTCATAATGTTTAGAAAGGTTACAAATTTGTCTTGGGCCACTTTCAAAGCCATCCTGGGATGCCTGTGGCCTGTGGGCCGTGGGTTGGACAAGCCTGCACTAATCCATTCATGAGGGCAGAGCCTTCATGACTAATCACTTCCCAAAAGGCTCTGCCTCTTAATGCAAACCACAATGGGGATTAAATTTCAACATGCATTTTGGAGGGAGCATTCAGACCATAGCATCCATGAACAGACAATTCACCAACCACAATCTACAGATGGCAAATAAGCACATGAAAAGATGTTCAACATCTTTAGCCATTAGGGAAATGCAAATTAAAATCACAATGAAATATCACTACACACCCATAAGAATGGCTAAAATAATACCACCACCACCAAATGCGGGCTAGAATGTGGAGAACCCTGACCACTTACACATTGCTGATGGCAATGTAAAATGGAACAGCCATGCTGGAAAACATTCATCAGTTTCTTAAAAAAACTAATTATACAACTTCCACATAACCCAACAATTATCCCCCAAAATGAAGATTTATATTTATACCAAAAACCTGTTCATGAATGTCTAGAGTGGCTTTATTTGTAATAGCCAAAAACGAACCAACCCAGATGTCTTTCAACAGATGATGGTTAAACAAACTGTGGTAGGTACATCCATATCATAGATTGCTACATAGCAAGAAAAAGGACTGTAACGGGATTATTACACATTGTATGCCTATATCAAAACATCTCATGTACCTTATAAATATATACACCTACTATGTACCCACAAAAATTAACAAAAGAAAATGGAACTAAATACTGATAAATACAACAACTTAAGAGTTTTCCACAAAACTCTCCCTGAAAAGTAAAAACAGGATGTCACCACTGCAGTGTCCTGCAGCATGGTGCATTGGTAGAGACCACTGATCTGTGACGCTATGTCAACAGAGCAGACAGCTGCCACCCCAAAATGCAGGACCCTAATTCGCTGTTAGGACAGGATCTTCTAACCATGGATGCTTTTCAGGGCTGACACATGTGATCTGTGTAGTTGTAAAGGGATTTAATGTTTAGCTATAGCTGTCTTGAAATTTTAACACGGGTCCCTGCCTTTTTATTTGGCACTGGATTCTGCAACCCAGGTAGCTAGTTCTAGTGTCTGGATACACAAAAGGGATGGTGAAAGGTAGATTGGCAGGAGGGAGAGTTAGGTTCTGGTCTCAGCTCTACCACTCACAATTTCATGACTGAGGCAGGCCACTTTCCTCTGGGCTTTATTTTCTATGTGTGGATGAGGGGTGTGTGTCCACATGCTATACATACTTGGGTACTTCAGCTGACCTTCCTAATGCAATATACCCCCAGCAATAAAAATGGCTCAAAATTACAGTCATCCTAAAATAAGGAATGGGGCATTTAGAAAAACAACCACAATAGGTAATTCTGACAGACACGCCTGGGGTTGAGGGCCACTGTGTGGGAGCAGCGAATGTCCCTCACTGAGTATAAGGCTGTCACAGCAAGCGCTTCTCAACTAAATAGAATGCATCTGTGTTCTCAGAGGGAAAGCCATTGCTCGGTCACTCACCCTCACCCACTTTTTGCTAAATGCTAATGATAATAAATAATATTACTATCATAGAGCCCTTTTTATTTCTCCTCCAAGACATACTACTTACTAAACAGATTAGATGAGCTTTAAAAAATAAAATGGCACACTGCCAAAGAGCAGTACTTCATTAGATTCTGTCAAAAACTGAAGGATGGTTTTCTTTTCTATTTTTTAACACATATATAGAAAATGACCCAAAGTATCCATATTACCTTGTTAACTTTCACACCTTCTTTTGGAGTTTGTTTTGTCGCTAGATTGTACCCAATCATCTGTTTAGCCAGCTGTCCCACAACATTAGGGCTAAGAGAAAGAGAAAACAAGCAGAAAATGAATGTTTGTTGAAAATCATTTAAATGAGAGTCCTTACACAGAGCCTCATGTCTACACTGCAAAGGGTTCACCTTCACCCTCACAAAATCCATGAGTCTTTCTGCTTATGTGCTGCGTGTTTAGCACTGTACTAGAGGCTCACTGAGAGCAAAATAAAAGTGAGTTCATGAATGAATAAATGAAACAAAAGATGCTTTGTGACCTCTTCACCCAAAAAAGTTACAGTCATAGTAAAGAGAGAATGCTGAAATGCACACCAGATTCAGATAAGGGTTGACTGAAGATCCGACAGTGGAAAACTGGGGAGATATTGAACAATGAGAGGGAAAGGAAGAGGGTAAAGATCAAAGTAAATAGTAAAAAGGTGTGTGACAGGAACAGGGAGGAGAGGAAAGTGTTCAGTGCTAGGAGATGCAGGAGATGAAGTTGAAAAGACAGGCTCAAATAAAGGAAGGCTTGGACTATCAGAGGGGAGGTACCCCAGATGCCACTGGTAATGGGGAGTCCCTTCAGGTCCTTGAATAGAGGAGTGACATTATGGAAGTAGCATTTCAGTTGGAAGTGGTATCATTTCCAACATTTATGATGAATCATTGATTGTTTAGGACAGAAGGACTGTCAAGTTTTCACCAATTAGTAAGAAAAATCATTTTGTGGGGGCAGAAGGAAAACTAGGGCACTGCCAGAGCCCTCTACCTATGATTTCAGTTTCTTCTAGTTGCTTTGGCCCGCTCCTACCCCACCACAACCAACCTCAGTGTGCCTTTCAATCTTGAGCAAGATCTTCCATAACTGCTTGGCCAAAAGACAAGGAATAACAACCTCCAGACTTACTCTTTTGTTAAATGAACACCTCCTTTCAAACCACTATTGAAGACACCTTTTCCTCTTCCTCCAGCTAAGATCTGGGCTTTTAAAACAATTTCTTTTGCATCTGAAAAAGAAAAATCCAGAGTTGGTAGCTGATTTTAAATTCTTTTTTTGTTTTTTAAGCAATAAGGAAAGCAATAATGGCACATAACTTCCAAGTAACTGGTAAAAGCTCTCTCAAACTAACTTTGAAAATAAATGCAATGAAGAACTTCAAAAAAACATCTATGAGCCTAAATACAAAGCTTGTTTACTGAGGATATTCAAATGCTTCCTACCAGTTTAATCATCTAATACTTGACCTTCCCAAGGGAAAGCAAGACATGTGTTCCCTTGCTCTTTTGAGTGTGTCAGAAGAAGCTAAATAAATCCTGGAAGGAGGTATTAATTTTACTGTGTAATGGCACTCCCATGTGGCAGAGGCACCAGTTGGCCAGTAAGAGGAGCTAACCATCAGAGATGTCAAAGGGAAGACTGGATTATGCGGGGGAAGGTTTAAAGACAAGACACAAAGGTCATAGTTAATAACTGCATTATTGGAAACCAACAGTTTTCTGAGCAGTTGTTCTATATACTGATAGGGTTGGGAAAGGGAGGAGGAAATGGATTAAAACTAAAAGCAAGCAATATTTTAAAATCATTGGCAAGGTAACAAAATATCCTGGGGGAAAGTGGTTGTGGAATCTTTGTTTCTCATCACACTCCACGAATGAAAGAACTCTCTAATCTTGACTTTTTAGACGAGAGTTATTAACACAAATATCTTCCCTTGCAGGGAAGTTGGGTGCATGAAGTAGCCCAGTGACAAATGGGGCCTTTAGCAAACAGGGTAGCTCCCCTCCCCAACCACCAAAACAAAACAAAACAACAACAAACAAAAAACTGCCTCCAAATCAAATATGTTTAATAAACCAAATAGCACACAACTGCAGACCACAGCTGATATCCTCTGTTTGTGAGTCATCTTTATTTAAAATCACAGAACCCAGCTGATCCCCTATAAGGCCATGAGAGTATTCTGGTTCAGTATACCAGATTTAGAATCTGCAAACCCAGGTTTCAATCTGGCCTTCATCCCTCACCCAGCTGTGTGACATTAGGCAAGTTACTTAATGTCTCTGAAACTCGGTTTATTCAACTGTGAAATGATGACAAGGGTTGTTTTAAAAATTAAATGAACACACATGAATGCTTTATCCCAGAGCCTGAAAACTTGTGATTAATTAAAAACTATTGCCTCGACCAGTTAGTTCATTTATTACCTTTGTATATTGTAAAGAATGAAAGGAATCATTACAGAGATGGCTAAACCAAAAAACTAACAAGCGCTCCATTAAGTTTGGTTATTTCAGCTATTACTGTCACTGTCATCATCATTGTTACCCACAGGCAAGCAGGTAAAGGTTCAAACGGAAAGAGCTGTGGAAGGTTTTATCATCAAGGCAATGGGGAGCTACAGAAGTATTTTACAGAAGGCATTCAGCCAGCTGATGTCACACCATTGAGGCTCCTTCACTGCCTTCATTGGTTAGTCTTCTTGTCTCCTATATTTGCTTACACTCAGAAAGCTGAAGCCCACCTTCTTCTCAGAAGCAAACACAGTTTTTTCTTAGAAGGCTGTCCTGTGTACCCTCTGGCAATAATTTCTGCCCTGGATACGAACCATCACAACATTGGTCAAGCCCTGTCTTATAATAAACTGGTTTCCATCAAGCTGAGTAGAAGACAAATTAATTGTCAGAAACTCACAAGGAAAGCAACCAAGTAAAATGAATACATTGCATATTTAGCTTACTGCAAGAACAGTAGTAAGAGCAAGGATATTGGAGTTAAACAGACCTGGTTAAAATCTCCAACTCTACCTATCACTTTCTTTGTAGAGAAGAAACAACTGAGATTCAGAAAGGTAAAAGTAGCATGCCCTTCTGTAAAGTAGTCATATTAAAGAAGTCTACAGTGTAAGGATGATGTGAAGAATAAATGAAATACAGTAAAGTGCCTGGCACATTTTTTTAAAGTCAAAATATGATAGCTATCAACATTATAATAATTTTCAGCAATTAAGAAAAAATGGCACACAGGAAGACATTTCCTGTTTTTCTTTGGAAGACATCAAGTGGAAAAAATACTTTTTGCTGTCTACTCAAATTTTTAATTGTGATCACTTCAAATTCTTTACATAACTGGCATTCCATTGCCATTATCATTTTTCATATCCTTGTCATCCTGAAGAGATGCTTTCCTCTCTGAGCTTTCCAGCAGCAAAACTTGAAAGCCAGAGAGAATACCTAATTGGGCATTGTTAATTGGCACTACATAGGCTTGATTAGATCAGCTTTAGTCACTAACCATCAAGACACAGAAAGAGTTGTATCCTCAATGAAGTGTTGTCAATTAAACGTGTCGCCATTTGACCTCCAGTCAAAGTATTCCATGCAAAACAGTGTTGGTAGAACAAGCAACCAGTTCAGAGACTATGAAACCAGAGATCAGGACAAATAGAAAAAGACAACAACCTACGCACATCTGCAACATACACCCCAGGCCAAAAATGAGTTCACTAAAATCATCTCTTCTGATTACATCTCAAGTGCTAAATCAATATAGTAAGTCAGCAAGTCAGCAGCCCAAAGTAAAGCAAGTTTTTCTCATCTTGAGAAAAACTCTCATGAAGTAATTTAATTCAAGGCTTATTTACTCAAGGTGCTGAAAATTAAGATGACAAATCCCACTCAACAGTAACTCGTCTCTTCATTCAGTATTTACCAAATTGATTCACATGTACTAAATGTCACTGTTTCTATTTATTTAAAGATCTGATCTCTCCCAAAACTCAAATTTCTGTTTTTATTTAACATTGCCTCTTGCCCCAATCCTGAACGGTATTAGAAAAGAAAAAAAAATCCCATATATGAAATGCAATTTTTGTCTGAATAAGACGACTTAACCATCCTTTAGAAAAACAAGCTAAAAGGACAGAGGAAAAAATTAACTCTAATATGAGTTGGGGTTTTATTTTTGTTTTTTGTTTTAGACAGAGTCTCACTTTGTCACCCAGGCTGGAGTGCAGTGGTGTGATCTTGGCCCACTGCAACCTCTGCCTCCCGGGTTCAAGCGGTTCTCCTGCCTCAGCCTTCTGAGTAGCTGGGGTTACAGGCACATGCCACCATGCCCAGCTAATTTTTTGTATTTTTAGCAGAGATGAGGTTTCCCATGTTGCTCCAGCTGGTCTCAAACTCCTGAGCTCAGGCAATCTGCCCACCTCAGCCTCCCAAAGTGCTAGGATTACAGGCATAAAATAGATTTTATATAGAAGTAGACAACAACCTAGACATTGATAATTATATTATTGGACTCTGAGTTGGTATAACTTGGGTCTGGATAACTCCAAAGTCTTTGCTCTTAATTGCTATTTTTATACGCAGTAGCCTAAGTATGCAACGTCTTCACTAAATTTTGTTCCTTTCTTAGTGAGTTTCTGAAAATAACCAGTACTCATGGTTAGGTTTTCACTCAGTTTAATAGGAACCAGTTTATTAGAATTTACATATATTTTAGTAGAAAACACTGTAAGACATATCTGACAAACTTATAAATATGTAAGACTCTCAAACACAGTATCACTTAAGAGAACAATATTTAGAGCGATTTAAAAAGTCTAAGCAAAACCTTACTCTGTGGTCTTTTTTTAGTCTATCAGCTGAATTATAACAATGCTTTTACAAATATTTTCTTTTCATTCTTTACCACAAGTGTTATTCTAATTATAATGCAGTTTTATAGCAATTTTTATAGATCCCCAATAGTCACATGCTAGATAATAAACATTCTTGGAAGCAGTAGGTCTAAAGGGAAAAAAATCAAATCATTAAGAAAAGCATAATCTAAATAGAATACACATTTTTAATTAAGCAAGCTTTGTAAAATGTGGTTCACTTAATTTTCTTAGAGATGGCTTTCTGAAAACATATTTACACAAAGTAATGCTCACAAGACATATTTCAGAGCCATAATAGGAATCATAGTAAATGTCTGAAATGTTAATCAAATATATTGACAAAAGTAAGTTATTTTCAACTATTTTTTAAAAACAGTTCAGTGATGAGTCAACTATTTGTGTTACTGAGCTGGTTTTTATTCAGCATTGCTCTTTTCTAAATTATAATACTTTCCTAAATGCTAAATGTATCACTGATACTGCAATGAGATGACTACTACAATGATCATCTATTTGGAGTCAATAATATTGGACTTGCAGAAACTGATTTCTGTGGTTCACTGACTGGAGCAAAATTGGAATATCCAGTTCTCAGCACAACTGCATCGTGTAATATGTAGCATGGCAATCACCTTCCCTGAGAGTTGATAGAATTCCTAATTGAGAAAGTTAAATTGTATTTCAGAATTTCAGATTTACCTATTACCAGAAGGCAAGGAGAAGGCAAAGTGGAAGGCAAGAGAAGAGTCAAAAGGTATTGTGTAAAGATGAACTTTAATAAAGAATATACAATTATATAGAGATAAGTTAGAGGCCTTGGTGCCAATTTCTCAAAGGAAATGAGCTCACTTCTATGTTTGCGTTACGACTTCAGAACCCAAACATAAAAATAGAGAGTTACCAATCTTCAATCATTACTATGATATCACCTATAGAATGACACATATTTCCTCAAGTTGTAACTGGGTCAATGGGAATAAGATGATACTGTAATAATTCTCCATATGTCAAAAGGCATCTTTGAGACTGAAATAATTATTTCAGCTTTCAACATGTCTGACATGGACTTTTCAAATTTGGGACAGAGAGTTTCAAACACACAGCACATTAGAATAAACCATTTCACCATTGGTCACATCATTTGACTGAATGAGACTGGAGATACATGGCTCTCCAGTAGACTGCTGCCCATCAGAGATTTGAATCGTGTATGTCTAAAACAGCCACTTTCAAGTATAAGTACAAGACAGAAATAGAACCATCTCCAGGACAAGGATTTTATGATACAAATAGGAAGTTATCCAGGGAGATATTATTTCAAATCAAGAAATTCTTGACTGATAAGGCTTTCATGTAAGTTTTAAATCTAAAACTTCCCTTTGAATATGATTCCCTATTATGAAAAAAAATCCTTTCTTTGGATACTGTGGGGGCATGATAAAGCCATTTTGAAGAGTTTGATTATTTAAAAATGATAATATCTTAACAAAAAATGTATTTATGCTTTCGACGGAATAATTTTAATTTTAGTCCCTATAAAAATTCCTAAATTAAAGTTTATTAAATCACAGTTTTTTCATATTTGCCATATGCTTAAAAATATTGTATATTTATTACTATATTATGGGCCACATTAAAATCTGTAATATAAATTAGGCTACTCCTCTGATCTTGTCACTAATCTTACTTACTGCTTTCATAACCGTTAATACACATTTTGTTGGTGATAAAATTTTTAAAGGTAAATAAAAATTATCTCTAGAAAAACCCAATTCAGTTGTAACATCTTACTATTCTCAGTAAAAGATACAATCTTGCTCTTTTCATGTAGTTTAATACTAGTAAGCCAATCTTACATTGTGTCAATTATATTAAAAGATATATTTCTACAAAAAAGCCTTAGGACAGAACTCCCTAACACTGATGGCAAAAAAAAAAAAAAAAAAAAAAAAAAAAAAAATGCCCATGTGACATCATTCAACACCTGTAACTAATTAAAGAATTTCTAACATTGTAAGAATGAAACCACAGGACATTAAACAAATCTTTTGCAAATGAAGCCACTTGAAGAAATGACAGTTTTTCAGAAAAATACAAGTTTCTTCAAAAGAACAAACTTCCAGAAGAAATCTCTACTGATTAATTACAGGACAAAGCAATCCTATTATGATATACATTGACAGTAAAAATACCTGTGTAACACTTGTAATTTCAAGAGGTGCTGGAAACAGTCATGGAAGATGAAAAGCATTTATGAAAGCCAAAAGTATTTCTACTGTATTATGTGTATGTATTTAAAGGAAGTTAAGGAAAACTAGCTATAAAAAAATCATGTCTCCCCCTGATTTTCAAACGAAAGATGTGAGTCAGCCAGGGTTCAATTAAGGAGGCAGAACTACTATGACTTATAGACAAGGGATTTATTATAGGAATCGAAGCTTGCACACTTACAAGAGGAGCTGAGAAAAGGCACGTCTAAAAGTGAGGTTGGAGGGTCCTAGGAGTCCCCAGCCAGCCAAGCAGAGGAATCAGCACCTCCAGATGGAGAAGTGGATGGCAAAGGAGGAGCTGGGGAAAAGGACTTGGGACTTGCTGCCAAGTGCTACAGTTTGGATGCTTGTCCCCACAAAATCTCTCGTTGAAATCTGACCTCCAGTGTTGGAGGACAGGCCTAATGGGAGGTGCTTGGGTCACGGGAGACGATCCCTTATGAATAGATTACCTGGAACTTAAAAGAAAATTAAATTTAAAAATAAATAAATAAATGAATTACCCATCCTCAGGTACTCTTTTACAGCAACACTAAATAGACTAAGACACCAAGCATCTCAGGATGGGCCTGGGTCCATATGGCTCAGCAGGATCAGCACTTGGGACAAACAGCTGGACACAATGCAGAGAAGAGCAAGAAAAGGCTGGAGCCTCTTGCTAACATCTCCACATCTGTCTGTCACTACCTAATCACAATGAACTGCAGGGAGTAATCACAAATTCTGTGCAAACTCCTCTTTTAGTCAACTCAAACCCAAAACTACACAGGGAAGGGGATTCTGGAAAACGCAGTTCCAGCTAAACAAGGTGACACAGTACAAGTCATCACACCTGATAGCTATAACATCTGACAGCAGAGCCCACAAGTGTTGCGGGTTGAAAATGAACAGCTCTGAAACGTTTCTGAGTTGCTTGAGAATCCACCTCTCCTTTAGTTGCATATTATTGAAGGCTACTTGACATTAAGGGGATTCTCTCGTCGACCATAACCAGTGATGAGGAAGGGAAGAACAAAAGGTGGCAACAGCCAGAACAGCTCTTGGTGTGCACACACTCATATCCTGCTGGTGGAACATAAACTCATGAAGGTTTCATTTTCAGAGCCAATTGGAATGACCATGAAATTTAAAATGTATGCAATATATACACTGTCTGGCTGCACCTATATTTAAAGATGTTCGTTTCACTTTTACAGCAATATTACTAATTTCAGAGATCATCTACCTTCTTGAATAGAAATCTTGTATTTTCCTTATTTTCTGTTATTTAAATCTGTTCCTCTCTCAGACCCTCCTCCATTGGTGATAGGCGCCCTCACAGGCAATCACAACTACTGTCCAGAATCTTTGCCCTGCTGTCTGTTCACTGCCATCATTCACTGCCTATGGTCTCTGGACCATACTCCTGCCAGTTTTCACACTAAACCTGAGACCTCTGTGCCTGCAAATCACCAAGCCCTGCTGCCCAGTCGTCTTCTTCTCATTTAGACACATCATCCATCAGGAACCCTTCACCTCTCCAACCTGTTCTGCTCTTTAGAGGAACTCATTCTCCAGACAGCCAATGCAGACTGAAATCAAACTCCCTCTCACAGACTCCTGAGCCCAGTACAAATCAAGGATTCAGGCTGGGCAACTTATTTCATACAGCTGAAAAATGCACAACAGTTAAAAAGTACCTGGAATCTTTGAAGGCAATTAGGAGGGCCATCTGCTTAGGGCTCACAGAAAATCCTTTGATAGCGCAATCCTACTTCCATGAAAATTGACAAGAGAACTAAAGATTTTCATTGCAATGTAGTTATAATAGTGAAAAAACTAGAAATAATCCAAATGTCCACCAACATTTGGACACTATTGGGAAAATAAATTTTATGTATCCAAATAATGAAACAATAAAACACCATATGTACAGTCATTAACAATAATTAAGTATACTTTTTAAAATTATACTTTAGGTTCTGGGATATATATGCAGAGCCTGCTGGTTTGTTACATAGGTATACATGAGCAATGGTGGTTTGCTGCACCCATCAACCAGTCATCTACCTTAGATATTTCTCCTAATTTTCTGTTATTTAAATCCGTTCCCCTCTCAGACCCTCCCCTACCCCCAACCCACCGACAGGCCCCAGTGTGTGATGTTCCCCTCCCTGTGTCCATGTGTTCTCATTGCTCAACTCCCACTTATGAGTGAGTACATGCACTGTGTGGTTTACTGTTCCTGTGTTACTTTGCTGAGAATGATTGTTTCCAGCTTCATCCATGTCCCTGAAAAGGACATGAACTCATCCTTTTTTATGGCTGCATAGTATTCCATAATTTATATGTGCCACATTTTCTTTATTCAGCCTATCACTGATGGGCATTTGGGTTGGTTCCAAGTCTTTGCTATTGTGCACAGTGCCGAAATAAACATACGTGTGCATGTGTCTATATAGTAGAATGATTTATAATCCTTTGGGTATACGCCCAGTAATGGGATTGCTTGGTCAAATGGCAATTTCTAGTTCTAGATCCTTGAGGAATCGCCACACTCTCTTCTACAATGGTTGAACTAATTTACACTCCCATCAACAGTGTAGAAGTGTTCCTATTTCTCCACATCCTCTCCAGCATCTATTATTTCCTGACTTTTTAATGGTTGCCATTCTAACTGGCGTGAGATGATATCTCATTGTGGTTTTGATTTGCATTTCTCTAAAGACCAGTGATGATAAGCTTTTTTTCATGTTTGTTGGCCACATAAACATCTTCTTTTGAGAAGTGTCTGTTCATATCCTTCACCCACTTTTTGATGGGTTTGTTTTCTTCTTTCTTGTAAATTTGTTTAAGTTCCTTGCAGATTCTGGATATTAGCCCTTTGTCAGATGGATAGACTGCAAAAAATGTTCTCCCACTCTGTAGGCTGCCTGTTCACTCGGATGGTAGTTTCTTTTGCTGTACAGAAGCTCTTTAGTTTAATTAGAGCCCATTTTTCAATTTTGGCTTTTGTTGCTATTGCTTTGGCGTTTTAGTCATGAAGTCTCTGCCCATGCCTATGTCCTGAATGGTATTGCCTAGGCTTTCTTGTAGGGTTTTGATCGTTTTAGGTCTTATGTTTAAGTCTTTACTCCATCTTGAGTTAATTTTTGTGTAAGGCGTAAGGAAGGGGTCCAGTTTCAGTTTTCTGCATATGGCTTACCAATTTTCCCAACACCCTTTAGGAAGAGGGAATTCTTTCCCCATTGTTTGTATTTGTCAGGTTTGTCAAAAATCAGATGGTTGTAGATGTGTGGTGTTATTTCGGAGGCCTCTGTTGGTCTATATCTCTGTTTTCGTACCAGTACCATGCTGTTTTGGTTCCTGTAGCCTTGTAGTGCAGTTTGAAGTCAGGTAGAGTGATGCCTTCAGCTTTGTTCTTTTTGCTTAGGATTGTCTTTGTTTTAGGGGCCCTTTCCTGGTTCCATATGAAAGTTAAAGTAGTTTTTACTAATTCTCTGAAGAAAGTCAATGGTAGCTTCATGGGGATAGCATTCAATCTATAAATTACTTTGGGCAGTATGGCCATTTTCACAATATTGATTCTTCCTATCCATAAGCATGGAATGTTTTTCCATTTGTTTGTATCCTCTCTTATTTCCTTGAGCAGTGGTTTGTAGTCCTCCTTGAAGAGGTCCTTCACAAACCTTGTAGTTGTATATCTAGGTATTTTATTCCCTTTGTAGCAATTGTGAATGTGAGTTCACTCATGATTTGGCTCTTTGTTTGTCTATTAATGGTGTATAGGAATGCTTGTGATTTTTGCACATTGACTTTGTATCCTGAGACTTCGCTGAAGTTCCTTATCAGCTTAAGGGAATTTTGGGCAGAGACGATGGGGTTTTCTAAATATACAATCATGTCATCTGCAAACAGAGACAATCTGACTTCCTCTCTTCCTATTTGAATACCTTTTATTTCCTTCCCTTGCCTGATTGTCCTGGCCACATCTTCTAATACTATGTTGAATAGGAGTGGTGAGAGAGGGCATCCTTGTCTTGTGCCAATTTTCAAAGGAAATGCTTCCTGCTTTTGCCCATTCAATATGATATTGGCTGTGGGTTTTTCATAAACAGATCTTATTATTTTGAGATATGTTCCATCAATACCTAGTTTATTGAGAGTTTTTAGCACGAACCGGTGTTGATTTTTATCAAAGGCCTTTTCTGCATCTATTGAGATAATCATGTGGTTTTTGTCTTTGGTTCTGTTTATGTGATGGATTATGTTAATTGATTTGTGTATGTTGAACCAGCTTGGCATCCCAGGGATGAAGCCTACTTCATCGTGGTGGATAAGCTTTTTGTTGTGCTGCTGAATTCGGTTTGCCAGTATTTTATTGAGGATTTTAGCATCGATGTTCATCAGGGATGTTGGCCTGAAATTTTCTTTTTTTGTTGTGTCTCTGCCAGGTTTTGGTATCAGGATGATGCTGGCATCATAAAATGAGTTAGGGACGAGTCCCTCCTTTTCTATTGTTTGGAATAGTTTCAGAAGGAATGGTACCAGCTCCTCTTTGTACCTACGGCAGAAGTCAGCTGTGAATCCATCTTGTCCTAGGCTTTTTTTGGTTGGTAGGCTATTAATTACTGCCTCAATTTCAGAACTTGTTATTGGTATATTCAGGGATTCAAGTTCTTCCTGGTTTAGTCATGGGAAGGTGTATGTGACCAGGAATTCATCCATTTCTTCCAGACTTTCTAGTTTATTTGCACAGAGGTGTTTATAGTATTCTCTGACTTTAGTTTGTATTTCTGTGGGATCAGTGGTGATATCCCCTTTATCATTTTTTATTGTGTCTATTTGATTCTTCTCTCTTTTTTTATTAGTCTGGCTAGCAGACTATCTATTTTGTTAGCCTTTTCAAAAAAAACAGCTCCCGGATTCATTGATTTTTTTAAGGGCTTTTCGTGTCTCCATCTCCTTCAGTTCTGCTCTGATCTTAGTTATTTCTTGTCTTCTGCTTGCTTTTGAATTTGTTTGCTGTTGCTTCTCTAGTTCTTTTAATTGTGATGTTAGGGTGTCGATTTTAGCTCTTTCTTGCTTTCTCCTGTGGGCATTTAGTGCTATAAATTTCTCTCTAAACACTCACTGCCTTAGCTGTGTCCCAGAAATTCTGGTACGTTGTGTCTTTGTTCTCATTGGTTTCAAAGAACTTATTTATCCACTGGCTTGAAATTCACACCGCCAGCACATCAGTCTGAAGTCCACCTGGGGTGCTTGGTGGGAGGAGGGGCATCTGCCATTACTGAGGCTTGAGTAGGTGGTTTTCCCCTAGTAGTATAAACAAAGCTGCTTGGAAGTTCTGACTGGGCAGAGCCCACCGCAGCGTGGCAAAGTCACTGTAGCCAGACTGCCTGTCTAGATTCCTCCTCTCTGGGCAGGGCATCTCTGAAAGCAAGGCAGCAGCCCCAGTCAGGGACTTATAGATCAAACTCCCATCTCCCTGGGATAGAGCACCTGCCAGAAGGGGCGGCTGTGGGCACAGCTTCAGCAAACTTAAAAGTTCCTGCCTCCCGGCTCTGAATAGAGCAGTGGATCTCCCAGCACACTGCTGGAGCTGTGCTAAGGGACAGACTGCCTCCTCTAGTGGGTCCCTGATCCCTGTGCCCCCTTACTGGGAGACACCTCCAGCAGGGGTCGACAGACACCTCATACAGGAGAGCTCCGGCTGGCATCTGGGGGGTGCCCCTCTGGGACAAAGCTTCCAGAGGAAGGAACACACAGCAGTCTTTGCTGTTCTGCATCCTCCACTAGTGATACTCAGGCAAACAGGTTCTGTAGTGGACCGCCAGCAAATTCCAGCAGAAATGTAGACTGTAGCAGAGGGGACTGACTGTTAGAAGAAAAACTAACAAACAGAAAGGAATAGTATAAACATCAACAACAGGGACATCCACTCAGAAATCCCATCCAAAGGTGACCAACATCAAAGACCAAAGTTAGATAAATCCACGAAGATAAGGAAGAACCAGTACAAAAAGGCTGAAAATTCCAAAAACCAGAACACCTCTTTTCCTTCAAAGGATCACAACTCCTTGCCACCAAGGGAAAAAAACTGGATGAAGAATGAGTTTGATGAATTGACAGAAGTAGGTTTCAGAAGGTGGGTATTAACAAACTCCTCTGAACTAAAGAAGCACGTTATAACCCAGTGCAAAGAAGCTAAGAACCTTGAGAAAAGGTTAGATGAATTGCTAACTAGAATAACCAGTTTTGAGAAGAACATAAATGACCTAATGGAGCTGAAGGATACACAAGTATCAATAGCTAGATCGATCAAGTGGAAGAAAGGATATCAGAGATTGAAGATCAACTCAATGAAGATTACAGAAAAAAGAGTGAAAAGCAACAAACAAAGCCTCCAAAAAATATGGGACTACGTAAAAAGACCAAACCTACGTTTGATTGGTGTACCTGAAACTGACAGGGAGAATGGAACCAAGTTGGAAAACACTCTTCAGGATGTTATCCAGGAATACTTCCCCAACCTAGCAAGGCAGGCCAAAATTCAAATTCAAGAAATACAGAGAACACCACAAAGATACTCCTTGAGAAGAGCAACCCCAAGACACATAATTGTCAGATTCACCAAGGTTGAAATGAAGGAAAAAATGTTAAGGGCAGCCAGAGAGAAAAGTCGGGTTACCCACAAAGAGAAGCCCATCAGACTAACAGTGGATCTCTCTGCAGAAACCCTGTAAGCTAGAACAGAGAGGCCAATATTCAACATTCTTTTTCTTTTTTTTTTTTTGAGACGGAGTTTTGCTCTTGTTGCCCAGGCTGGAGTGCAATGGTACAATCTTGGCTCGCTGCAACCTCCTCCTCCTGGGTTCAAGCAGTTCTCCTGCCTCAGCCTCCCAAGTAGCTGAGCTGGGATTACAGGCATGCACCACCACACCTGGCTAATTTTGTATTTTTTAGTAGAGACGGGGTTTCTCCATGTAGGTCAGGTTGGTCTCAAACTCCCAACCTCAGGTGATCCACCCACCTCAGCCTCCCAAAGTGCTGGGATTACAGGCGTGAGCCACCATGCCCGGCCCTCAACATTCTTAAAGAAAAGAATTTTCAACCCAGAATTTCATATCCAGCCAAACTAAGTTTCATAAACGAAGGAGAAATAAAATCCTTTACAGAGAAGTAAATGCTGAGAGATTTTGTTACCACCAGGCCTGCCTTACAAGAGCTCCTGAAGGAAGCACTAAATATGGAAAGCAAAAACCCGGAACAGCCACTGCAAAAACATACCAAATTGTAAAGACCATCAACACTATGAAGAAACTGCATCAACTAACGGGCAAAATAACCAGCTAGCATCATAACAACAGGATCAAATTCACACAAAACAATATTAACCTTAAATGTAAATGAGGTAAATGCCCCAATTAAAAGACACAGGCTGGCACACTGGATAAAGAGTCAAGACCCATCAGTGTGCTGTATTCAGGAGACCCGTCTCACGTGCAAATAGGCTCAAAATAAAGGGATGGAGGAATATTTACCAAGCAAATGGAAAGCAAACAAAAGCAGGGGTTGTAATCCTAGTCTGGGGTAAAACAGACTTTAAACTAACAAAGATCAAAAGAGACAAAGAAGGGCATTACATAATGATAAAGGGACCAATGCAACAAGAAGAGCTAACCATCCTCAATATATATGCACCCAAAACAAGAGCACCCAGATGCATAAAGCAAATGCTTAGAGACCTACAAAGACACTTGGACTCCCACACAATAATAGTGGGAGACTTTAACATCCCACTGTCAATATTAGGTCAATGAGACAGAAAATTAACAAGGATATTCAGGACTTGAACTCAGCTTTGGACCAAGCAGACCTAATAGACATCTACAGAACTCTCCACCCCCAATCAACAGAATATACATTCTTCTCACCACCACATTGTACTTATTCCAAAACTGACCACATAATTGGAAGTAAAACATTCCTCAGCAAATGCAAAAGAATGGAAATCATAACAGTGTCTCAGACCACAGTGCAATCAAATTAGAACTCAGGAGTAAGAAACTCACTCAAAATCACACAACTACATGGAAATTCAACAACCTGCTCCGGAATGACTACTGGATAAATTAAGTATATTTTTAAGTGTAAATGTCAGAAAATGCCCATGCACAAACTAAGCTTTAAGCTGACCTTAATGACTAGCATTTTTTAAAAAATACACCTGTAAACAGTTACATAGTCGTAATAAAATCTAAATAACCAAGGTTGGGTGTGGTGGCTCATGCCTGTAAGCCACTTTGTGAGGCCGAGGCAGGTGGGTTGATTTGGGAGGCTGAGACAGGTGGGTTGCTTGAGCCCAGGAGTTCGAGACAAGCCTGGGCAACATGGTGAAACCCTGTCTCTACAAAAAGTACAAAAATTAGCCTGGCATAGTGGCATACCTGTAGTCCAAGCTACTCAGGAGGCTGAGGTGGGAGGATCCCTTGAGCCCAGGAGGTTGCGGCTGCAGTGAGCCATGATTATGTCACTGCACTCTAGTGTGGGCAAAAGAGTGAGACCCTGTCTCAAAAACAAATAAATAAATGAGCAACAACCAAACTATTAACTGAGGTTACCTTAAGTGGCTAGGGAGTAGTATTATGGGTACAACATTATATCTTTTCTATGTTGACTTAATTATTTTGCAATTATGTGTCAGAAAAATAAAAAGAGTTTAAAAGCTGTGAATTAAATGTGGGCAGTTAATTCATAGTAGTTTGTCTTGAATATTTAAATACTCATTTCTGTATCAGCCTTTACCATTTTACCACATGGGGTCGGGGTGTTTATATTTGAGGAAGCCTCTAGAAGATATCTTAAGGACACATGGCTGAATACCTTATAACATGACCTCCTAAAGAGTCACGCAAGAAAACTGGGAGTGGCAGGAAAATGTTTTGCCCTTTTAAAATATTAGTGAGCACTTACTTATTCTATGGGAATTCAAAAAATTTTTTTAAATGTCATGGTCATTGCCTTTTGTAAACTTAAAATTGACTGGAAGAAATAGACACAAACAAATTACTGAAAATTTTTAATTTATAATAAGCATTAAGAAGCAAATTAGGAAGGGGAAATGGTGTCAAGTAAAGCTGAGAAGGAAAAAGGACGGAAGAACTATTGATATGGTTTGGCTCTGTGTCCCCACCCAAATGTCATCTCAAATTGTAATCCCCTGTTGTGAAGGGAGGGACCTAGTGGGAGGTGATTGGATCATGGGGATGATTTCCTCCATGCTGTTCTCATGATAGTGGGTAAGTTCTTACAAGATATGATGGTTTAAAAGTGGCACTCCCCACTTCACTCTCTTTCTCTCCTCCCAGCTTGTGAAGAAAGTGCTTGCTTCCCCTTCGCCTTCCACCATGATTGTAAGTTTCCTGAGGCCTCCCCAGCCACGCGGAACTGTGAGTCAATTAAACCTCTTTCCTTTATAAATTACTAGTCTCAGGGAAGCAGTGTGAGAATGGACCAATACAGCTATAAAGAGAAGAGTACTTGGCCAACGTCATGAGGAAGAGCTGTGAGACTTCTAGGAAGATGGGACTGGAGAGCAAGGACATGGAGTGAAAAACAACTAAAAAAAGGCTACTTTGCTTTTCTATTTATTTCTGTTTGGCTTTCATGGTTTGCTGTTTAAACTAGAAATCACTATAGCACCACTTCAAATAAAGCAGCAAATCATGCCAGGATCCTGCACTATAAATCATTCAAATTTGCTATTTCAGATATTCAGAAAACTTCTACAGATTAAAGTTTATTTCCCTATGTTCAAGAACAGCATATAAATAGAAAATACATTGATCATCTTTGTTAAATTTAGATATTTTACCCCAAATACTTTTAAGAGCTCTAATAATTTTATCATGCCAGTCTCAAAACAGCTCCCAACCAGGTAAGCTAACTCTCAGATAAAACAGCCCCCAGCCAGGTAAGCTAACTCTCCTATAAAAGTTCCTCAAGGGGTCAGTGAGATTCATACTAAGCATTATTTAGTAGCAACAATAATAAAGTATACGCTCCCCTCCTCCCATCCTGCAAAGAAACACATATTCCATACTTTAAATCTGCTATAATTCCAAATGCTAGAGATACAGAATTCCAGACAACAGCTTGATGTTGTTGCCATAAAAAGGAATCCAGGAGGCATTTGTCTTCAATTTTAAAGTTTGTAAAGTGGTCAATGACATGCTGGAGTTAAGCAGAAGCCAGGAATGACCTACCCCAAGAGAGATGAAAGATCTCAGAACCACTTTCCCATGATACACACATCTACTGAGGTCCAGCATAACTGTTATGCTGCTTTCAAATTGCACTGAGTTTTAAATTGCAATGTCTTGCTCTTTTATTGCCTGTCTTGATGCATTCATTGTTTTTGAAATCTAAGTCTATTGCTCGAATGTTAAACACAGAGGGGACTTTAGATTACATCCTGGAGGATGAAACTGAGCAGTATCAATGAACTTGGAAGAGTTTATATTTGGCTTTCAAGGGTTGTGAAGGCCTGAGAAATAGCTATTTCCTTTTCTCTTTATGCCACTTTCTTTGGTTTCCTCCTTCTCTCCTTCCCTGCCTCATGCTTTCTTCCTTTCTCCCTCCTCCCTCCTTTCCTCTCTCCTTTTCATTCTTCCTTTTCCCACCTGCTTCCCTGCAATACTTCCAAGTTATTTAATTTGCATGTTTGACTATATCTCAGATAACTAATTTCAGTTCCAGCAGCCAGAGAGATCCACATTTACTTCAAATTCTACCCTCCATTACACTCTCCCACAGAACCACTCCCAAATAAGAATGTATCCACTTAAATCCCTGTGAATTGGAACACTCATTATCAATGTGCTACACCTAACCACAGAAGCCATAAAACCTGAACCTACTTTCTTGGACTGTTTTCAAAACGACATTTCTGATTATATGTGAGCATTCAAATCTCTTCTGGCACTTTCTGCATCTTATTTTTCAATGCCTGGCTTGAGCTAGAATTCATACTGGGGGAAGTCAGGCCAAGTGTTATAAATGGGAAATGAGGGAATTAACAAGCTGGTATAAATTTTACTTCTTGGAGTAAAAGAATACAAAATTTTTTGACTTGAGTTTGGAATTATACCACCCAAGACAGCACAGGAAAATACTTAAGAGCTAGCATCCATATCTGGTAAAACTGAAATAAAATTTGGCAGCTTTTAAGTAGTTCTCCAATGGTATTAGTGTGGCACAGAAATCAAGTCCTGTTTCATATGAACCAAGCAGTCCTACAGGAGGATACCCTTTGAAATTCCAATCATTACAAGAAATTTGCACTAATGATTCATATTTCAGGCCGGGCAGGGTGGCTCACACCTGTAATCCCAGCACTTTGGGAGGCCAAGGCAGGTGGATCACTTGAGGCCAGGAGTTCGAGACCAGCCTGGCCAACATGGTGAAACCCCGTCTCTACTAAAAATACAAAAATTAGCCGGGCGTGGTAGCACACGCCTATAATCCCAGCTACTCGGGAGACTGAGGCAGAAGAATAGCTGGAACCGGGGAGGTGGAGGTTGCAGCGAGCCGAGATTGTGCCACTGCACTCCAGCCTGGGCCACAGAGTAAGACTCTGTCTCAAAACAAACAAACAAAATTAGCTGAGCATGGTGGCAGGTGCCTGTAATCCCAGCTACTTGGGAGGCTGAGGCAGGAGAATTGCTGGAACCGGGGAGGCAGAGGTTGCAGCGAGCTGAGATTGTACCACTGCACTCCAGCCTGGGTTACAGAGTGAGACTCCATCCCAAAAAATAAACAAACAAAAAAGATTCATATTGCATCATCACAGCTGGAAAGCTAGCATATAAGTCTATTCCTCCTATCCACACACAGCTTGCTAATATGGCTAATGTTTTTTCTATACCCCCACATTCTCTGCTATGGTCTGAATGTTTGGGTCTCTTGTACCCCAAAATTCATAAGTTGATATCCTAACCCCCAGGTGATAGTACTGGGAGGTGGGGGCAGAGACCTCCTGCATGGGATTAGTGCCCTTCTAAATGGGACCCCAGAGAGTTCCCTCATCCCTTCTACCACGTGAGGACACAGCTAGAAGGCAATATGTGTTAAGGAGAAAGCAGGCTCGCCTCAGACACTGCATCAGCCTTGGTCTTAGACTTCCCAGCCCCTAAAGCTATGAGAAACAAATTTCTGTTGTTTATAGGCCACCCAGTCTCTGGTATTTCCTTACGGCAGCCAGAATGAACTAAGATACTCCCTGAACACATAGTGTTTTACTCTATTTTCTACTTTAGTTTTCAGCAACATGGACATCCAGAAGTAAACAATACATCTATAGAATTACCTGAAATACTCTCCTTCGTCCTCAAGCACTGGTGCCCTTAAATCCAGCTGCAGCCTCTTCCAGGTTCCTGACCCTTTCTCATTGCCTCCCAGCAGGAGGTGGAACAGTCTGTCATAATGCATAAACATGATTTGACTGTGGGGAGGGGGCAGATCTTGCTACCCTAGAAGAATTTCCCAGGATACCTGTCCAAAAAGCTAAAAACAGAATAACTCCAGAAAAGAAGATGTCCTAGCCTTATGCAAAGGGAACAATTTTCACGAATCAACTAAATTAACACTGACTTGGGAATGCTACCAAGTCTAACAAAGCAGATGCCACCTCTCCTCTGAAGGCCCTTGGAGTTCAAAGGAGATGCTACAGCAAGGGGGATCCATGAAGCCAGGGAGAGATTCTGTCAAACCTAATGAAGCCACTCTCCAGTTTTGCTAATCACACCCCTTACACCGCCTCCAGTATGAAAGTTTCTACCGAAGGACGACACAGCATGATGCAAAACAAAATCGCCTCATTCTCCTGAAAATGACCAGTACCAGGCACATAGCAGGCCCTCAGCATACGGTCATTCATTCACAATCATCACTTCCTTTACTCTATGAAATCATAATCACAGTGTTTGCTAGGAGCTTACTGAAAAATAAGATTTGTGCTGAGCGTATTCACTATTTCTATTTAGCAAATGACCCAATTGAAGTTAAGGGAGTTTCCTGGAGTCATACAGCTAGGAAGAAACAGAGTTGAGATTTTTAAGCCAGAAAGATTATTTGAGAGACTGTGCTTTAACTTCCTCACATAGAGCCTTATTACTGATTTTTCCCCAATGTTCTATTATTAAAATTTCCAATCACATAGAAATGTCAAATGACTAGTAAATATCCACATATAACCTAGATCTACAACTGTTCACATTTTGTACATGTGCTTTGTCACATCTCTCAATCCAGCACAACCCATCTTATTTTTTCATGCAATTCAGAGTAAGTTCCGTGCATCAGTACAGTTAAACTCTTCAGTATCCATATCAGTTATTAGAGTTTAAAAATATTAGAGTTTAAAAATATTAATTTATAATAAACATTAAGAACCAAATAAGGTACAGTTCCTTTGGGGAAGAGGTAAAATTTAATTTCAGTGAAATACCCAAATCTCATGTGTACCAATCAATAAGTTTTAACAAATGCATATACTTGTATGACTCAATTCCCAAATCAATAAATCTATTATTGTTTCTGAGAACATATTACAAGAGTATCCTTAGGACAAATGAGCGAAAATATTGACAATAGGGATCACAAGTCTCTTCCTAAATACTTACTGAGACTAAGCATAACAAAATATTTAATTTATACACCTTAGCACAAAGCGCAATGTCCAATGCCTGGCCTACAAGAGGCACCCAACAGGTATGAGACTATCCAAAGGCGTATAAAAAAGGAATCAGCTTCCCCCATTACCACTTCCAAATCAGAATACTGCTTGAAACACTCCTAAATCAGTCACAGTCAATTATATGCAAAATACTGAGTTCAAATGGGAATTTTTTTTAAGCCATGAACATAGTAACTCTTTAGAAATAGAAACAATTCATTATTTATATATAAGTTTTTTATAGTAATGATGTTGTGTAAGCTCAGTGGAAATTATCAAAAATAGCTGCATCCACAAGTTTCCTTGCACCACGCTTGCCCAAGTATTTCTGTGTGGCTCTTCCATTTTCAACAAGGGATTGAATTTTCCTGGAAATACTTGCAACCTCCAGAAAAGCCAGGATGATACCTGGAGCTTAAGACTGATACTTAAGCAATGAAGTGACGAAAACGACTATCTTTAACCAAAAGCTTTTCTACGCTATCAATGTCACTGTCACCTGCCTGAAGCTTAACATCATGGGACTCCAGACTTTTGATAAGCCTGCAGGATTTTTGAAAGGAAACCACCAGAAAGTACTTAGAAGATAAAAGCCAAAACATATCTGTGGTACAAACTAGAGTACATTACTTTTTGCAAACTTTAGAAAATATAGACACAAATGTCTAAACAAAGTCTGAAATGATATTAATATAAAGCCCACATCAACAGTGGTTATCTATAGGGAATAGGGGTTGATCTTTACCTCCTTCTTTATAGTTTTGTTATAATCTGCGTTCTTTACAATGACTATTTATAATGAGAGAAAAACTATTTTCAAATTTAAATAAAAGATGTTTCTTTGACCTGGTAAGAGGAGTAACAGTACATTGTTATGAGGGGGAAAAGCTTAGCATAGTGCAAAATATATACCACTAAATATATGTACATATACAAATCTATAACTGAGGATAAATCTGGAATGAAATATGCCAAGATATTAACTCTGATTACTGGTAGAGAAAGGTTGTAATGGATAAATTTTTTCTTTTTTTTTTAAACTGCAAATTTGCTACAAGGAACGTATATTGTATCTGCAAATGGGGAAAATGACAGTTATTTTTAAATAAGCTTATTACGTATTAGATTAAATCAGCTGCCTGAGATGTGTACACAGACACCATTCAGCTCTACTGGGCTTAAACCACTTCTTCATTTCATGGGAGGAGTGACTCAAAATAAAGTAACGGGCAAAATTGACACTTCTGAATTCAGCTGCTAATCCTCTGATTGAACACCAGCCGTATTCTTCCCTGGGCCTGGGGCACATACATCTGCACTTGCCAGAATTAGCTGACCTGCTCCATGCGGGTAACATGATTGGTCTCTGTGAGACTCAGGCCACATTACTGCATCTCAAGTCATTGACTCCTTTCGTGAAGCAGAAAGGGGTGATGCACTCTCTTGAGGTGTCCCCCAACACCAACATCTAAGATCTATAAACAGGATTGTTAACACATCTTCCTTTTTTTTGTTTTTTCTTTTTTCCTTGAGACAGGGTCTCACTCTATCACCCAGGCTGGGGTACAGTGAAATGATCATGGCTCACTGCAGCCTCGAACTCCCGGGTTCAAGTGATCCTCCCTCAGCCTCCCAAGTAACTGGGAGTAGCTGAGAACACAAGTGCACACCACCATGCCTGGAAATTTTTTTTGTTTTTTATAGAGATGGGGTTTTGCCATGTGGTCCAGGCTGGCCTCAAACTCCTGGACTTAAGCCTCCCAAGTGCTGGGGTTATAGGTGTCAGCCATCACACCCAGCCAAACCGTCTCCTTTCTGTGTACATCTGTCTTACCAAGTTTACCATCTGTCTTAAATTTCTCCTAAAGAAGATACCTTACCAGAGATAATTAGGTGCAGTGGATAAGTTCATGAGCTGCAGGCCAGATGGCCTTGGATTAGAACTCACGCTTTGTCCCCTTCTAGGGGTCTGAGCGGCTTTGGCCAAGTGAATAGAGCCTTGATTTTCTTATCTACAAAATGAAGCTGATAATAAAAGTGCTTACGTTTAAGAGTTACTATGAGTATTAAACGGGGGGTGGGGGCAGGGGCGGCGGCAGAAATGCATGGAAAATACTTAACACAATACTTGGTGTATACTGGCTTATACTTATACATATCAAGTAAATGGTAGATGATAATGATAAATATGTTGCCTATTGGGCAAAATAATTTTTGTAATAAGTAATCTATTACTGACTTTTGCCAAGTGTTAAGAATATATAAAACACTCACGTCTTGTATTTTTTGCAAGTATTCAGAAATAAGTAAAATGTGCTCATGGTTGATGAGATGGTTGATGAGACAGTACAAAGTTAAAAAGGGTTAGATGCCTTCAAAAGCTGCCCAAATTCTAAAGACATTTAGTACTGCCCTGCCACCTTCTGATGGACTAATGCTTTTATGTGTAAAATGAGTACCTCTGGATCCTTGATAGGATTCGCCTGCTACAAATGCACACCATGTTTTTATTTATGTTTTGATAGTTTGTTTTGACCCAAGGCCTGTGTCTTGTCTTGCTTTTCGATAGTCTCCCTTTTGATATCCATGGCTGCCGCTAGTGCTGGTGGCCTTGGAAATCCACCACATTTTCTGGCAGAGAACACAACACTTGATTCCGTCTGGAGCTGCTCAACTTTGGGCCTCATTAGCAGGCTGAGGCTTATATCAGCACAGCACATCCCTCCCCCAACATCGATGCAGGGACTGATCCAGCCCTGTGGCAGCCTGGGAGGGAGGGAAAATGAGCTGGGAAGCAACCAGACACTGAAGCTTGGCTGGCGTTTTGTGGAGCAGAGTGAGCATACACAGCTATCTGTCCTTCAGTGCCATTACTGATGTTGCCATTATTGTTACTATAATGGTTGGGACTGTTGTTCTGTGTCTTAAGGAGACCACATACTCACCACTGGCTATGCACCAGGAGCTATTCAAAGGACATTACAAACCTCACCTCGTTTATCTTCACAGCAGTCCTCTACATGAGGAAACTTAAGAAATAAAGTCACTTGCCCAATATCACACAGCTGTCAACTCCAGAGCACAAGATCCAGCCAGAGCTGAAACCTTATCCACACCACCTTAGTATGGTGCTAAGAGGCCACCCACAACTCTCACCTATTCAAGCTCAGGTGAATATAAGAAGTTGGTGGGAACATGATGTGACAGTGGTCAGCAAGAAGCCACGCCACCCAGTATCAAATATGACCAGAACTCCTGATGATGGCTTCTGGGGAAACTGACTGTCAATTAAAATGGAGAAAACACTTGCACTCCAGCCTGGGCAACAGAGCAAAACTCCATCTCAAAAAAAAAAAAAAAAAAAAGAAAAAAGAAAAAATGGGGAAAACACAATGACCCAATAATAGCAAAACAAAAACCTTTCCTTTCAAGCTATATGAAAGGCTGTGCCCATCACGTATCTCACATGTATTAATGGCTTCAAGGACAATTCCTTTTACTGTCTATTTAACCAAACATTTTTGTGACTTAATATACCAAATTATAATAAAACAAGGCCCACTCTATTGGTGTATTCATGTAGTACTTTTATTATGCATGTAAAAAAAGACAGTAGTCTGAATTGATGAGGTACAAAAGTCAGAGAGCAATTCTGCAAAGTAAAGGCAATACTGGCTGGTCTTAACTTCTCTGCAACACTGTTACTGCAGACATGGATGTCTATAACATAGGAATACGAGAACGTGGATTTGAGTTCAGTAGTCTAGCATTAGATTTTGTGGATTGCCATTCCAGTTCAACTCTTTCTACTTAGCTGTGTAAAACTGGATAAGTCACTTAACCTCCATAAACCTCAGTTTCTTCATCTGCAAAACAGAGTATAACAATAAATATCTCATGGTTTATTGGGAGAATTCAAGGATGCAATCTATGTAAAGACTTTGCACAATGTCTGGCAACATTTCAAGTGACTGATAAATGTAAACTACTGTGTGTTTTATACCTTAAATTATCTGATTTGGCCCCAAATCATTTGTAAGCTATTTCAGCAGTCTCATCATCTTTCTTTAAAAAATGCAACTGTTGTCTGAACACCTGTTAGGTGATAAGAAATATACTGAATGCTTTGTATGTGTATTACTTCTAATCCACCCACTAATCACATAATTTAGAAATTATTGTCATCAATTAATTGTTAAAAACACCAGAATTCAACAGACAGTAAGACAGCCCATGCTTTTTCTATGACATCTCCCATCCCAACCAAGAAGTGGATATGAATGTTATCTTGCTGCCCAGGGCATCGAGATCAGGTACTGAAGGCTGACAATCCCTAATCTTGCCATCTTAGCCCAGACAATGACACTAGAAATTAGCTTTGGCATCCAATGTGGCATCCAGCCCCTGTGAAGACAGCACTCTTGTCCACCACAGATCTTCCATCATGGCCACTGCAGCAGGGAATTGTTCCCTTTGTCCATGGTGGCTTTGCCACAAAGGGTCCACTTGTGGTCTTCAGTTAAATATTTGCTTTAATAAAGTGACAAATGTTTAAAACTTCATCTTTTTTGTAGCCTTTGAGTTCAACTTGCAAATCTTATCATTCTACTTATAAGCTGAAAATTATAAGTTTAAAATGTAATTCACTTTCAAGGGGGCTTTTGGACTTAAATAATTCAAGTTAGATACACTAAACTCCCTTAAGTAATCAGTATCATTTACAAATTTAATTTAATTTTTAATTTTTCTTAAACATTTTAAACTGCATTTACAAACTCATTATACCCATTTTCTTTTCTTAAAGTACTTCAATTTCTGACCTGGAAAGCAAAATCTACTAAGTATTAAATTGCACCAGTAACTCCCTAACAAATTAAAATAAAAGATTCCATATACTTTAAAAGCATTGCAATATTGTTTATAATCTTTGTCAAAAACTTTATCTTTCAACATAAAAATTACAAGAGTAATGGTAACTACTCAACTAAACATAGAAAGTAGAATCAATATCTACTTTGTCAGTTACTTTAATATTCCGAGTTATCTTAAACAGTAGAAACACATCAACTAAAAAATGTACGCAGATTACTAATAATTGATAAGCATTAATTATCATGGGTTTCAGAAATTTTATCATGTTTACTAAATTCTAAACCTTCCTTGGGTTAAAAGTAACATAACCAGTAACTAAATACTTTTGAATCCCATGTCATAGACAAGGTCACAACTCTAAGGAGCTGGGGTAGCCCTCTCGGTCGGGGTAGGTGTGATTTTTTGCATGCTCTTGATAGCCAGGTTGGAGCTATCTTTACCAGTTGCCAAGACAAATGGGAAGCCCCATACAGAGTGATCTCAAAGATGGCATCCCGGGGTTCCCTCAGGATGTGCTACTACATGTTTTTACCAAATTCTGTCTGATTTTGGCAGAGAGAAGTCAGCTACCCTCTGTAAGGCTAAAGCTATTACATTTACTTAACCATGTGAATGTTGTTTTGTTGGAGTGTTGTTGTTGTTGTTAGGAATTTCAGTTGCTTTCTAATTGCCTGAGAACCTTGATGTCATGCAATAGAATTCTTTACACTCAGC
This sequence comes from Homo sapiens, assembly GCF_000001405.40. Taxonomy (NCBI): domain Eukaryota; kingdom Metazoa; phylum Chordata; class Mammalia; order Primates; family Hominidae; genus Homo; species Homo sapiens. The sequence continues at coordinate 67,554,414 of NC_000003.12, forward strand.
TGTAATTCTTACAAACTTCTATAAATTGTGTCACTTGATTTAGGGAGATTTAAATTCAAACCCCTCACTGTAACCTCAATAAATTTGGTGCTACACTCCTTTATGAATTTCTTTACTGCCTGACTGAATTCAGAATTATTTTCATTTCCTTCTTGTCTAGAAGGGGCAATATTAGTTATAATTCGGTTTGGCTGTTAAGGGACCAAAAAATTAAAATAATACGTTGAAAACTTTACATAAGAGAGAGAAGTTTCTGTTTCTCTCACATGAAGTCCCAAGGTGAGTTATAGGGCTGGAGTTGCAATTTCATAATGATCACAGTTCGTCAACATATGGCTTCCACTTCATGGTCATACTGGCTACCAGTAGCCATAATAAAATCACACGCCCACAACTAGTTACAAGGGAGGTTGGGAAATAATTTATTCCAGGTAGCCATATATTCAGTGAAAAAGTGACAGGTCCCCTAGTACGTGAGGACAAGTGCTGAGGGGTAGAAGAAGTGTTGTGAAGATACTGGCAGCATGCATACTGGAGATCAAGTACCCAGGCACTGAGGGATGTTGGGGAGCTTCCTCACAAAGACACGGTAGTAGCATATCTGACAGCACCCCAAAACTGAAGATGTTGGAGAGCACGGGGGTTGTGGGCAGAAGAGACAGAACAGCTGGGAAACTGATCACACTGATTAATAACAGTAAATTAAGGAAATAATATATAGAGGATGAGAGCAAGTTTCTTGCTGTTGGAGGAACTTCCAAATATGGAAAGGTAGGAGGCTAGAAAGAACCCTGAGATTTAGGAATGAAATTGGAAGTATCAATATAAACCCAATATTTTTGGTAACACAGGTAGACAAATAAATGGTTGCAGATGCATGTTTATGTATGTAAATGTACATAGGGAGGGTAAAATGAATGTGTATATTTTATACTCATATATATTTGTGTGTATACTTACATATACATATATGTGTGTTTGTGTATGTCTATACACACATACTACCTCCTGAGATGGCCTAAAAGCAGTAATGCCTCAACAGTAATGATCACAAACAAGTGCCCAGATCTTAGTTTCTAAATACAATCTTTCCCAAAAACAACCAGGGTTTCTTAGAGAAATGGCTGATACCAGGGCTGGGACAAAAAAGGGATAAGTTGACATTGAGATATCTTGTGCCATAAAGTAAGGAAGTGGTTAAAGAAATGATGAAGCCATGTCAAAAAGGCTTAGAAATGAAAGACAATCCACTGAATAAAACAAGAATTCGTAAGTCTTTGATGATATAAATAAGGTAGAAGAACAGGCTCTTCCTTATACTAAAATACCAACCAGCAAATGATGGAAATGAGAATACCAATTGACAACCCCATGAAAGCCAAGACTGGTGGGTGGAAGGTAGACAAGGACCATGATATTGGCATAATCTCAGAACATCTCCCCACAAAATTCAAATCACTTACAAAGGAAAAATGTCAAATCTAAGGTGGAGAAACCTGGCATGTACCAATGTGAACAGAGTGGGACAGGCCATGTGCCTTCTGATGGGACATATATAAACACTTGACTATCATTTCTATGGCATTTTCCCCGAGTGGGGGACCTGATTCTGGCCATGTGGAGACACTGGATGGATCCAGGTTGAGAGACGTTCTAAACAGAAAAAGACCTGACTTTTTTTTAAAACTATCAAAGACTAGAAAGACAGGGAAAGATCAAAGAAATGTTCCAGAGTAGAAGAGATCCAATAGACATGATAACTAAATGTGACATGTGTTCCTGACTGAAATCCTGGGTCAGAAAAGAAGGACAATCGCCACTGGGATAGCTGGTGACCTTTCAGTGGGCTTTGTGTCCTGGGGGGCAGCAGTGCATCAACACTGTTTCCTGACTTGGAGGGCTGAATGCTGATGGTGTAGGAGAGTGTTTTCACTATTTAGGAAATACATACCCACAATGTTTAGCAGAAATGCAGTATCACGTTTGTAGCTTCCTCTCAAATGCTAACGGTTGAGGAATCAGGATGAAAATGATATGGGAGATGTCTATATTGTACTTGGAATTTTTCCCTAAGCTTGAATTTATTTCAAAATAGAGAATTAAATTTTTAAAATATCAAGGCTCTATTATTCAGGAAGAGCGGGAGCCCTGAGAGACAGCTAGTGGTGTCTGCTGGTCAAGCCACAAAACATCCTACTGTATCTGCATATATTTCTTGGCTTTGTTCAGCTCTAAAGTCACAGACCTTCTTCCCATTGTCTCTGCTGCAGTTTTTTGCTATAACACCATTATCTCCTTCCCACTAGCCCATCAATGAGATCCCAACCTGCTTTATGTACAAACCAGTAAGAGTTACCAAGGACAACATGTTTTGGGGCCGGATAACAAGATGTTTTTAACATCACAGTTTCTGCGCTGCATTTAAGAGCTGTTGGACACAATTCTGCCCTGAGGCAGAAATTGAGCAGGAATAGAAGAATGGAAATAACACAAGTAAAAAAACTGGAGAACAGGCAACATGGGGAGTATGAGATAACATAAATCGTAAAGTAGAAAACAGAAATGAGAGCAGGTTTCAGAGACATAGGCTTGGACTGCCTTTCTACCATGCACAAGACCACCTGTCGCTAGCATGATGACTAGTGTTTATTCCAAAAGTCTGGTCAATGAATCTCCCAACTAGAATTCTAGACATGTTTCTTTTAAGTATAACTTAATGTTTGCAGACTTCTCCCTCACTGGAAGAGGAATAAAGGATAGGAAGAATCTCCTTCCTAGTATCAAATGCATGCAACTCTACCTCTACAATACTCAGGTGACATTTTAAGAAATACTAATATCACATATTACATAGACGTAACATGGCTCTTAGCATCAATTTGAGATGAACAGAGATCGTTCTGATGTTTCTAATGAAGAGAATAACCTTTTTGCTCCTTTTCATATTCAAATTTATATTCCATAAACATTTATTGAATTCCTACCACGTCCTGACCACCAAGGTGAATAAAACAGCCAGTGCCCTCACTGAGCCCAAGGAGACAGACCCATAAACTAACAAATTTCATAAAAAGCACAGATGACATCAAATTATTTGTTCACTATTTCTGGGCTTACCAAATGAAGTTGCAGACCTCATGTTTTTATTTGAACTTACTTTATTCTGTTATAAGGTTAGGAACCACATTAGGGAAACTGAACACAAACTAGCTGTAGTCTTTATCATTTAAATATATAGAGCTGTATGATATATCACTGAAATCAGTGGTTTCCATGGTCCATGGCTGAGCGGCATCAGAATCACTTGTAGTGCATCTTAATAATTGAGAAATCCAAAGCAAATGAATCAAAATCCCAGGAATTAGATTCAGAGTTCAGTGTTTCTAAGAGTTCCACAGAGGGTTTTGATGCACAGGCAAGTTTGGGCACCCCTGAAAAATCACTGTCACTGATTCTACCAAGAGTGACCTTAGGCTTGCAGAACACTAGTTTGCAAAATAACAATCAGTCCCTTGGCTGTGAAATTCACAAGACTGCTGATTAATTCATTTGAATATGATTAAACTGCTTCCCTCTACCCTGGGTTTGTGAATGGTGAGGAACTGAAACGTTTGCTGCACCATCCATTATTAATGCTCTTCCCTTCCAAAGCCTGTCCCTTTGACCTCTGTTTATTCCGGCTTGTCTCCTATATGAGTTTATAGTTACTTATTATTATGTGCAATTACATCATGCTGAGTGTGAGGACACCCCACAAGCTGTTAGCTATATTAACTTAATAATAGATTTCAGGGTGTGATTTCCAATTAATTTCATTTTCCATATGCACATGCAGCTCCATGGAAAGCCAAAATTATAGAGTAGCCATATGGTGCCTCATAAGAAACAATTAAAACTAATTTTCTATTCTTTGACACCAAAAAAAAAAAAAAAAATACGGTTTACATGCCACAGAGAAAATTGAAATTTGAACAGCCTCGGTAGCTCTCTAGAAAGAAGATGCCCCACTTTCCACATTTGTGGCATGGATATTCCAGTTTCTTGCTTGGCCGTGGTGGACTATGGTCCCACCTGGCTTGTAGTACATTTGATTCCTCACTGTTCTTACCCTGCTGGACTGTCTTAGAGCAGCTGTGAGAAAGTGCTGGGCTTTCTGTTTCACAAGAGTGAGTTGAGTTGAAAAGAATAGTTTGTCTCCTTCAGAAACAGATGATTTCCGGTAATAGAAATTTCCTACTGATCCGTTTCCAAAAGGCAGTATCTGAAACACTGGGGCAATCTGCCCAAGCCAAGGAGAAAAATAAGCAGTTCCACTAAAAGCAGATGATGATTGTTAAGCAATAATGTAACTGTCCAAGGCTGAGGAGGGCTGGAGAAAGGGTCGCTCCCCTGGAAACTCAGGCTGGTTTGTTAACCAGATCAATGATCCTTTTACCCTTACCATATGGTATAATTTTGTTAATTCCCAAGGGCCCTATTTTATTAAAATCATCAGCTGGGAGGTTAAAAAATAAAAAATGAAACATATCAAGACCCTATTCAAGATAAGCAGTGTGACAAAAAATAAAAATCCTTGATTTTATTAGTCTTTCATATAGGTTTCAACTCTTAAAACTATCAAGTTTTTATGTGGGAGCAAATAATATCACAATGTATTAATAGATTTACTCTAAAGAATACCTTAACTACGTTGCTGAAAACATGACTAAATCTCATTATTTTTTATTTTATGACAAATCCCTTCTACAGCTAACATACGTGCACAAGGGTGGCAGAAGGAACCATGAGAAGGTAGAGTAAGAGGTCAGAGGTCTTTTTCGATTGTAGTATGAACGAGTAAGAAAACTACCTGTATTAGTCTGTTTTCACAATGCTATAAATATACTACCTGAGACTGGGTAATTTATAAAGGAAAGAGGTTTAACTGACTCACTGTTCCGCATGGCTGGGGAGGTCTCAGGAAACTTACAATCATGGCAGAAGGTGAAGGAGAAGCAAATACCTTCTTCACAAGGTAGCAGGAGAGAGAGATAGCACAAGGAAGTGCCACACTTTAAAACCATCAGATCTTGTGAGAACTCACTCACCATCATGAGAACAGCATAGGGGAAACCACCGCCATGATCCAATCACCTCCCACCAAATTCCTCCCTCCATACAGGGAGGGGACTCCAATTCGGATTTCAATGCAAGATGAAATATTGGTGAGGACAGAGCCAGACTACCATCTATATGTTTACTGTAAAGAAAAAAATAAAATTATCAGAGGTGAAACTTTGTGAAACTGACATCAAAATTTTTACCAATAAAAATTATAATGGCAGAGAATTTTTCACAGAGAATTTTCAGGGCAATAAAACTACTCTGTATAATGCTATAAGGACAAATATATATAATTAGACATTTGTCCAAACCCATAGAATGTACAACACCAAGAGTAAACCCTAATGTAAATTATGAACTTGGCCTGATGATGTGTCAATGTAGGTTCATCAATCGTAATGAATGTACCATGCTGGTGGGGGATGTTGGTATTGGGGGAGGCTGTGCAGTTGTCGGGGGAGGGGTATATGGGAACTCTGTACCTTCCTCTCAATTTTGTTATGAACCTAAAACTTCTCTAAAAAATTAAATCTTTAAAATATATCTATATAATGGCTACAAGGAAGAAAAACTCTAAGTCCATGTTAGGAGTTGAACTGTGTCTCAGGACCTCTGAAAATTCAGTTGTTGAAGTCCTAATCCCCAGAAACTGAGAATGTGATCTTATTTGGAGATTGAGTTGTTGAAGATGCAGTTAGCTAAAATGGCATCATTAGGGTAGGCCATAATCCAATACAATAGTATCTTTTAAAAAATGAGAAATTTGGGAGACTCTGCTTCACAGCCTCAGAAGGGCCAACCCTGCCACCACCTTGAGCAGGGACTTCTAACCTCCAGAACCATGAAACAATCAATTTCTGTTGTTCAGGTCACCCAGTTTGTGCTACTTTGCTATGGCAGCCCTAGGAAATAAATATAGCCATGTTAGGTAAAGAACGTGAGATCTGGGTTCAAGCCCTGAGTCTGCCAACCACTAGCTATGCAAGAGATGTCTCTAAGCTAGATGTCCTCTCTCAACCAGGAAGGTAAGTAAAGCCTCCTCACAGCATTGTGGTGGGGGTTCAATTATTAATACACAAAGCCGGTGAGGTACAATGTACAAGTCTTGGTGTCTAGGTAAGTGTAGGATACCTAAATGGTTCTCTTCACTATGCCCCCAACCCCAGGAGTAAACTCAGCCTTTGGGAGTGTGGGAGAACCTCATCTGCTTTTCTAGTGCCTCCTCCAAGTAACTCCTTCACACACAGAACATCACACCAGGTCTTCCTTTTCATATCCCTGGAACCACAAACTCTCCCCCTCCTTCAGGTTAGGAAACAGCAAGACGTGGAAGTTTCTGCCTAGCCTTGAGATGCCTTAGGTGTCAGTGATCAATTAAAACAGATAAGCTCCCCTCCCAACTCCATTTTTTTCCTTCCCTCCTCACCCACACTCACAAAATGAATATAAAACCAGCATAACAAACACAAACTCAGCAAGTTAATACTAACGCAATTGTGTACTTTGCTCATCTAGAATGCTAGGCTTCTGACTCCACAAGATGCTAAAAGAACACAAAAAAATCCTCTTTGATGGCTAACATTTTCTTCCTTAAGGTAAGAACAACACAATCCTCTCAGTCATTTAGTATTATATTAGCTTTATCTTATTCCCAGGGGCTGCTTGCACCTTGTTTTAGTGACTCCTACAAACTGCACTGGTCAGAACTACTGTAGCAAGCACTGTGCCTATTATCTTTTTGTAGTAAAGGGTTAATGAACATTAAATACCACATTTATTTACTCTCATGCTGGTGGACACAGATGAGCACCAAGAAAATGAAGTGGGTCTTTAACATCTTTTGCTTTCTTGCATTAAAAACACTGCCAACATTAAGACATCCTTACATGTGGCATTTCCTGCTCAGCAAGTCTTAAAGTTCCCAACAACTATTTAAAAAATATCCTCTTGTGTGGCAAAATAATAACAAAAAGCTTAGCAACAGCAGCCCCCTACTTGCTTTGCTAAATAACCGTTCCAACAAAAAATGAGCTGGAAGATTAAGTGTATCTTCATATTCCAGCAAAAATAAATATTTAGAAAAATATGTTAGGCCAAACAAGTCCCCCTTCAACATTCAATCAACCATTCCCTCTTGGTTTGTCTTTCTTTTTGCCCCCCTACTCTATTCCCATCCCTTCCATAAAAATGACTAAAGAAATTCTTGCAGTTTCACTTTTCAGTGGTGCATAATCAAAATTCAAAGGAAATTAAATAGCTGTCATTATCATGAGTATCCTAGGATTCTTTATTCCTGTACATACCAGTTCAAAAGGCAGACAAATGCACACATGACACACACTTACATGCAGAGTTCTTACAAATAAATCTTGTGTATTGCTAGTTTGCTATTACACTGTAGGGTTTTAAAAGCTCAATACATCATTTGAAAAGGTTCCTCCTCTACTTATCAGTCACTTATCCATGAAGCCTTTGGTTTCCAGCAAGGTTTTGGCCCCTCTTCCTACACCCCTGCCCCTACTCCCTTCTGCATTTTTGATGGGGGAAATGGGAACAGGTCAGTGAGAGGATGAACGACTACTGTAAATACTTAAAGACATCAATTGACCATTCATCCCCCCTTCCCTTAGGGTAGAGTCCAGTAGAGCACAAACATTCTCACTGTAAACTCTTCCTTGTGTAATCTTCAGTCATAGTGGCATTCCTTCATGTTTGCACTTTAAATATACCCTAAAAGCCCAAGTTCTCCAATTCAGTTTTTTTGTTTGTTTTTTTTTTTGAGACAGAGTCTTGCTCTGTCACCAAGGCTGGAGTGCAGCAGTGCCATCTCGGCTCATTGCAACCTCCACTTCCCAGGTTCAAGTGATTCTCCTGCCTCAGCTTCCCAAGTAGCTGGGATTACAGGCACAGGCCACCATGCCCAGCTAAATTTTGTATTTTTAGTAGAGACAGGGTTTCGCCATGTTGGCCAGGCTGGTCTCGAACTCCTGGCCTCAAATGATCCACCTGCCGCAGCCTCCCAAAGTGCTGGGATCACAGGCGTGAGCCACTGCGCCCGGCCTCCAATTTAGATTTTATTTGGCAAAACATTCCCCCAATTTTATGTAATAAAGATGCAGCACGATGGTTAATGGTCAAGTGTATGGCAAGTTGCATACACTTTTTCAACACTAATTTCCTTGTCTGTAAGAAGACAACCACTCTGGTCACCTCATAATGACACTGAAGAATTTAAATGACTTGATTTTTATAAATTGCCTCAATACAACATCTGGCACATAGTTAAATGCTCAGTAGGTGGTAGTCCCTACTATTACTGCTATTAGTATTATCCTTATTAAGGCTAAAAAGTCTTGCAAACCTTAGTGAACTGTGTATGTATGTACACATATAAAAAATTATCTATATCTTTTAATACCGTAATTTCTAAAATGGAAAACTATATAATTTACACATTTTTCATTTTAATGATTAAATTAATAAAGTAATTATATGTTTGATATAGCTTAGGAATTATAATGTGTACGATTTACATTCTATTTATTATTTTAATTATTTCTATTATAGTTTATTTATAATTTTAATATATAATACATATATACATAATATATAATACATACATTTTTTAATGTATTCTCTGAAAATGTCCCAATACCACAGAATCTGACTGGAAAATACCTTGGGTACTCCCAAAACCAGAGCCAGAAATCGCTATATTAGAAAATTAGTTTTGGGATTCTAACTGCTGTGAACAGTGAAAAACAGTATGGTCTCTTAAGGAGTTCCAAGCCTCTTGTTCTGACTTTGAACAAGGCCCGTCATGTGTAAAATGCTCTATTGTTCCTCATTCCCTAAGTTTCAAGTCCTCAACTAGCTCAGAATAACACATTTAGCCTTTAACAGGAATAGTGAGAAAAATGAGACAGTGAGGATGTGTAAGTAAATATGATACGTCCATAAACTAGAACACCATGAAGCGTTTGAAAAGAATGAAGCTGTTCCCTATACACTGACCTCTAAAATATTGTTCAGTGAAAAAATGGCAAAGTACAGAACACAATGTACAATATGCTCCCTTTTAGGCTGAATGGGGCTCACTTAACTTCTTAAGGAGCCTGCAACTGAACTTTAGCATATGCTAGAAAAGAAGTACTACTAGTTGGCCGGGCGCGGTGGCTCATGTCTGTAATCCCAGCACTTTGGGAGGCCAAGGCGGGCAGATCACAAGGTCAGGAGATCGAGACCATCCTGGTTAACACGGTGAAACCCCGTCTTTACTAAAAATACAAAAAAAATTAGCTGGGAGTGATGGCAGGTGCCCGTAGTCCCAGCTACTCAGGAGGCTGAGGCAGGAGAATGGCGTGAACCCGAGAGGCGAGCTTGCAGTGAGCGGAGATCTCGCTGCTGCACTCCAGCCTGGACAACAGAGTGAGACTCTGTCTCAAAAAAAAAAAAAAAAAAAGAAAAAAGAAAAAGAAAAGAAGTACTAGTTGTCCCTGAAGCTCTCTTTTGCCAATTAAGTGATATCTGTGAAAGAATAGAGGGAGAGGGATAAAAAGAGAAAAACATTAAGAATATTATAATTTTTCCTACTAGAAAAATCAAGTGTATCTGCAACAGCAATGTAATTTGACCAATCGAACATACTCTTTCCTTCTGTAAACAGAGCGGCTGCCAGCACAGGAAGTAATAGTGTCCATTTTTTGGACTGCATTCCACTTGGAAGATTATCTCCAAAGTACTGGATTCCAGCATATACACTTTGTTGAGCTGATCTACAGGGCTCACTAGCTTTCCCCCCTCCCCTCGCTATTAATAGTACTCACTCTGATCTTTACCTCACACTTTACCTTGACTTAGACTTTCAGCAACCTGCAAAGTAATCTACCAAAACAGAGAAGGAAATATGTCAGCATGGCAAACTGTATTAGTGAAACTAGTTAGAAACAAAACGCCACAGGTATAAACTCTACATTCACCAAAATGGACATGAGTTACTAAATAAAATCCTCTCCTGCAGGTACTATGCATCCCTGTCTTAATCATCTGTGTTTCAGATTCTATACAAAACAGTTAGCAAGCTTGTCCAATCTGTGGCCCACAGGCCACATGCAGCTCAGGACAGCTTTAAATGTGGCCCAATACAAATTTGAAAACTTTCTTAAAACATTATGAGATTTTTTTGCACTTTTTTCTTTTTAGTTCATGAGCTATCTATTGTTAGTGTGTTTTATATGTGGCCCAAGACAATTCTTCTTCCACTATGGCCCAAGGAAGCCAAAAGACTGGACACCCCTGAGTCAGAGCTTGAAATCCAGGTACTGCAGTGGAAAGGTATCATATTTTTAAAATAATTAAAATAAGCCTTTCGTGCTATTTATAATCTTAGAACAATATTTTTCCTTTCTGGTGAAAATAAAATGTACCTTGTATTCTAACACAACTTCTATTCTTCCCACTGCTTTTTTTTTTTTAACAACCAAGCATACATTAAGTTTTCAAACTGTAGCATTTGAAATTAAAGTAATGAGTGAGTGACTCTGGTACCTAACAGACTCAATCAAGTCTTAACTTAAATAGTATTTTGACAGGGAAACACATTAAATATGTGCTACGTGCTGGTCACTGCACTAGGTGCTGAGTATAAGGAAGCAAATAAAACAGGTTCCTTGATTTCACTAGGATTATGTCTAGGGGAGAAAGGTCATTCCACACAAATAATTTCATAAACTATTTGATTTAGTCACATATACTCTATATAGTTCCTGATTTATATAGAGTTAGTAATAAAAACTCTACTAAATACAATATAGTCTTCTTTTAAATCAATGTACTGTAGCACTACAGGGTGCCTTGGAAATATCTATGTGAAAAGTAGTTATTTTATTATTTCAGTCTTACCCCAACTGTATAACCCAATATTAGCTATTAAAATACAAATATGCCATACTTTTAAAAAATTAAAAACTAACCTATTTCATTGGCCACTGGCTTAAGTACAAACTGTGTAACATTGGCATATAAACAAATACCCTTCATTGCCAACAGCATGAGATATGCCACTGCCCCTGAGAAGCATTTCTGACTCTCTAGCTAAAGTTTGTAAACTCTCTGGTTGCCACAATAATTTATCCAAATTTCCACTGTGATGTTTATCATATTGTACAAGAGTAATTTGTCATCCTCCATAACCTGTGAGCTCCTCAGGTGCAGGAACAATGTCTCATTCACAACGTATCCCTAGCACTCTCACTAGCGCCTAGCACCTTGGAGCCTCTCCACAATGGTCTACTAAATGCATTGGTGAAAAAGGGTGAATTGAACACTACACGGCAGCTGTCACTTAAAGTACATTTTGAGCTTCCACAAGGCAGATTCACTGCTCAAATTGGAAATGTTCTAAAAGTCTTGTTCATCTTAGCTGTCTATCCTATCTGAAAATCATTCCTTCCTTTTGTTATATTTGATTTACTGAGGCACACTCTGTTCCAGGGACCACAGTAACAACCTTGACTCAATCAGGCAAGGAGAGTATAGCGGTGGAAGGATTCACACACCTGTCCACTTAAGACAAGATTTTGCATTCAACGACAAGCACTTGAGTGAGCTACTCAAGCATCAGGCAGCTGATGAGCCTTTCTGTGATCTTACTGATTTTCCGAATACGGTGAACATTCTAGTCTGTCTTTGACCTCACAAAGTTATATTTTTACTTCTCAGGTTGCAAATTTGCAGTGGTAAAATCATCCTAAAAACTTTACAGGAAGAAAATGGTTAAGTACGTTTTAATTCATCAAATGAGAGACTTTAGTATAATCATTAGAATTACATTTGGGGGGGATATTTTAAAATATGGAAAAAATCTCATATACCATGTTAATGTTAAAAAAAGCTGAATACAACTGTATAAAGTATAATCAAAATTTTGTGAAATAAATCTATATGAAAATAGTCACATATACATATGTATCTCCACACAGAAAAATAACTTAAAGGAGTTTCAACTTTTTCAACTATGATCATGTATTATTTATAAAAATTCTGAAAATAATGCATGCTTTTCTTCTAAAGTAAAAAACATAATTTCTTAACCGGCTTTATGGTGGATTTTGCAAAGTAACAATTCCTCTACTATCTTCCAATGATTCACTTTTCTTACAATTTTAAATTATATCTTATTCATGAAAAACGCATATACCAGAAGTAAAGATGAACCACTATGTTTCTCTCTGTGGTGAATAAATTACACTTTTAAGAAATTTAAAAGATACAATTACCTAGGACATTAAAGATTAATAGTTTCCTTTATAATTATAGATTCCTTCCATCCTATGTTTTTATGCCTCATAATTGCAGTATGTCTAACCTCCTTTAAAAGGCAAGAAAGACTGGGCATGGTGGCACACGCCTGTAATCCCAGCACTTTGGGAGGCCAAGGCAGGTGCATCACTTGAGCTCAGGAATTCAAGACTAGCCTGGCAACATGGCAAAACCCATCCCTACCAAAACACAAAAAAATTAGCTGCCCATGGTGGTGTGTGCCTGTGGTCCCAGCTACTCGGAAGGCTAAGCTGGGAGGATTGCTTGAGCCTGGGAGGCAGAAGTTGTAGTGCGCCAAGATCGCGCCACTGCACTCAACCTGGGTGACAGAGTAAGAGCCTGTCTCAAAAGAAAAAAAAAAGGTGGGAGGAGGAAAAATATCAATGGAAACTTAAAAATACTTTTAAATATAAAGTAATGCTGCATTTTAATATGGCAGAACTATACTTCCTATATCAGGATTTTTTTTTTTTTTAAGTGACAGGGTATGGCTCTGTCACCCAGGATAGAGTACAGTGATGTAATCATGGCTCACTGCAGCCTCAAACTCCTGGACTCAATCAGTCCTCCTGTCTCAGCCTCCCTAGTAGCTGGGGCTACAGGTGCACACCACCACACCTGGCTAGTTTTTTTCGTTTTAACGTTTTGTCCAGGCTGGTCTCAAACTCCTGGCCTCAAGCGATCCTGCCACCTCAGTTTCCCAAAGTGCTGGGATTATAGGCATAAGCTACCTTGCCCAGCCTCCTATGTCAGGAATTTAAAGACTAAAGGAAAATGGTAATCTGAAAACTTTTTTGGCAACCACTATATTCAAGTCCTTCTTTATTCCCACTTATACAGAAAAACTTCATTTCCTTTTGTTCTTTTTTCACATTCGAAGACCCTAAAATTGATTTTTCCCCAGTTGAGCCAAAGTGGAAGAGGGACAATGTTTTATTAAAAGATTCATTTCCCAGCATAAACTGTCTTCTTTATTTATATACAAAGAAAATCTGTCTTTTTATTCTTGTGAAAATGTTTTCTGAAGCTATCATTTTACAAAGTTAATTCAATTGTACTTGACTCTAAAAACAGACAGAGAGGGAGAAAAGATGATGATGACAACGCTGTTAGCCGCCTCAGCAAAAGAAAAAGATACGCACTGATCAGCTCTCTTAAGAATGGCTGCACAAATTAAATTCCACCAAAATGTAAGAACAAGGGCATCGTGGTGACCAGTCTTCAGTGACTTCTGTTGTGTGTGTGAGAGAGACCAGGACAGCAAAAGAACTGTGGTATTAGAGTCACTGAACTGGTTACAATTTAAGAAACATTCATCGTTGGGCTTAAATGTACTGAAGAAAAGGGTATTCATGTGACACAAAAGACAAGAGAATAAGGAGAATCCAAAATGATCCATCAAATGAAACAGACTGAGGGGCATGGTTTTGGGCCAAGTGGAGACACCCAGCTGGCTACAACACTGAAGGGAAAGCATCGAATAGATTTTAAAGTAGCAAAGTAAGGAAGGGATAAAAATAAATAAAAGACTAAAAAGTAATATGATTCTTTGATCCTATGTAAGTCTGAGATTCCACAGCAACACAGAAAGAGATAAATGAGAGAGAAAACGTGAGAAAATGAATGTTTTCCATCCTGGTCTTAAAGAAAACTTAAGTGGCATCTTTTTAAAAGAAAGCATAAGTATTTTCTGAACACAAACTTCAAATCATTAAAATTACCTTCCCTCATTCTTCCTAGAGCAGCAAGCTTTTAAAAAATAAAGAGTGAGCCGGGCGCGGTGGCTCACGCCTGTAATCCCAGCACTTTGGGAGGCCGAGGCGGGCGGATCACGAGGTCAGGAGATCGAGACCATCCTGGCTAACACGGTGAAGCCCCATCTCTACTAAAAATACAAAAAATTAGCCGGGCGTGGTAGCGGGCGCCTGTAGTCCCAGCTACTGGGGAGGCTGAGGCAGGAGAATGGCGTGAACCCGGGAGGCGGAGCTTGCAGTGAGCCGAGATCGCGCCACTGCACTCCAGCCTGGGCGACAGAGCGAGACTCCGTCTCAAAAAAAATAAAATAAAATAAAATAAAGAGTGAAAGCTCTAAGAACAAATTTAGAGCTATATGGAGTTTCCACTTTTTCAGTTTTCAATTCCTAAGTCAGAGTTAAGATTGTTATAGTTGAAACTGTATTAGAAACATATTTAGGAACGATGATTGTACCGTTGAGCTTTTCAGTTATGATCCCCACCCCTATCCTAACTGGAATCCTGAAATTATCAAGCTTACCAAAGCTAATGCATTAATTCTCTCATTTCATGATTCATTAACTCAGTAATTTCCTGCAAGATACATGGCCAACAAAAATCTCAAAATATCCCTGAGGATATTCCAGATTAAAAATGCTAAATTCTTAGGACATAATCTTTCTAGCACTCATAGAGTTTACTATTTCTTAGTTTGTTACAACTATTTGCCCAGATGCCTGTCTCCCCAAGTAGACTGTAACCTCCAAGCAAATGAAGATTGATCAAGTAGGATTCAATATTTCTTTTTCTTATACACAGATCTGATCATATTTACTCTCACCTGGACTCTTAGGGGCGGGGCTATCACTCAGAGCCACCGGGGCATGGCTGCTGCCCAAGTGGACCCAGAAGGCTGGACTTTGGCCTCAGTGGGCCCAGAGGCAGAGCATCATGGAAACAAAGAGAATTATTCTCAAGCCTTAAAATACAATGGACTTTGTCCTGCTAGGTTTTGGACTTGCTTGGGCCCCAGGATTCCTTTCTTCCTTCTAATTTGTCCCTTTAGGACTAGAATGTTTATTGTATGCCTGTTCGCCTATTTGGGAAGCAGATAACTTGTCTGGTTTCACAAATTCACAGCTTGAGAAGAATTCTGCTTCAAGATGTATCACACCTAGAGTCTCATCCATGGCTGATTTAGATGAGATTTTCAACTTAGAGCTGATGCTAGATGGGTTAAGATTTTGGGGGCTGTTGGGATAGGGTGAATGTATTTTACATGCAAGAGGAAACAAATCAGGGATGGGAGGGGGCATGCAGAAGGCAGAATGCTATGGGCTGTTTGTAAACCTCCCTAAATTCACGTATTGAATTCTCAACCCCCAGTACCTCAGAGTGTAACCATATTTAGAGACAGGGTCTTTAAAGAGGAGATTAATTTAAAATAAAGCCATTAGGAAGGGACCTAATCCAATACGATGATGATGTCCTTATAAGAAGTGGGAGAGACATCAGGGACAGGAGTGCCCAGAAGAAAGGCCGTAAGAGGACACAGCAAGGAGGTAATCATCTGCAAGTCAAGAAGAAAGGCCTCAGAATGGAATCAATACCTTGATCTTGGACTTCTAGCTTTCAGAACTATGAAAAATAAACTTCTGTTATTTAAACCACCCAGTGGGTAGCATTTTGTTATGGCAGCCCTAGCTGACTAATATGCCTGCCATTTACATTCTCCCTGAATTGCCAGTCCTGTGGCAACGTACCACACTACTTCATCTACAAATGCACATTTGTTCCTTTTGTCAGGGACTGTGTAGTAGAAAATCTGGCCTTGCCCAAAGGGTGGTCTGGCTTTTGTCCTCAACTTCTAGGAGGCAACCCATGTCATCCCTATGGGAATATGTTAGTCTTGGGAAAGAACAATTAAGGTGGGGCCAGCTACAGCCAATAGTCTTAGGTTAGGGGCTGGGCATGACAGAAAGATCAATCATGTGTTTTACAGTGGGGAACACAGAGGCTGAAATCAACCACATGGGCAATCAGGCAATTGATCATGCCTATATAGTGAAGCTCTCAATAAAAACTCTGGACACTGAGGCTCGGGTGAGCTTCCCTGGCTGGCAATACTCTGTACATACAGTTACACATTAACGACAGGAGGGTAATGCATCCTGACTCCATATGGAGAGGACACAGAAACCTGGTGTACAGAATCCTCCTAAACTCCAACTTAGTTGTCTCCTCTTTCTTTGACTGATCTGATTTCATATCTTTTCCCTGTAATGTAATAGTAATCATGAGCACTCAGTGAGTTTTGTGGGTCCTTTTAGCAAACTGTTGAAACTGAGGGTGTTTTGGGGAAACCTCACACTTGCAGTCAGTGTGAAAAGTAAAGACAGTCTTGGAGACTGGGCCCTCTAATTTTGCAGTTTGGATAATTCCATGTAGGGATGAAACCTCAGATGTCACTATCTCAGCAACATTTCTTGTATCTACCCTAAACAGAGTTAATCATAATTTCCTTCCTTCTCAGTATACCACAGGATGTAATCCTAATTTACCTGGTAATTACAGTGATTCTAAACCTGAGGAAATTTTGCCCCCCACAGAAGAGAACATTTGGCAATGTCTGGACACAGTTCTGGTGGTTACAACTGGGGGATGCTACTGGCACCTAGTACTCCACCTCCACCCTAGGGGATGGAGGCCAGGGATGCTGCTAACCATCCTACAATGCACAGGACAGCCCTCACAGCAAAGAATTATCTGACCTAAAATGTCTACATCATCAGGTTTAAGAAACCCTGCATTAGACTGTTGACATTTACCGGATGAACCCCAGGTCTGAGACAACAACTCTTGGAGTAGTGAGACAATAGCACCCTGAATTCTAAGGGCCAGTGTCCAAATGCCAATTCCACATAAAACACTTCTGTTTAATGTCAGGCAAATATCCAAACCCTTGGCCCTCAACTATCTCATTTGTAAATGAAACTAAAATAGCATGTATTCCACAGAATTATTTACAGAAGAAATAAGACCATATATTAGAACAAGTTAGCAAACTATTTAGACCACAGTAAACACTGGCTAAATGTTCACCCTATATCATTTAATTTTCCTTGTACAATGTAAAACATTTTATAAAAAATATTTGCACTGACTAGATTACTGGTAAAAGGTCACAAATCACTTTTTCTTTGGTTTAGAACAGATGTAGGACTCCTGGATCTCATAAATGTGGGCTACTAACAAATTAAATGTTTCTTTCTATGCAAAATTTGTCTTCTCTTACCAAGACCACATGTTGCTCTTTCCTTCCATTATCACCACTTATGGGTGGCTTCCTTGTGTGTCCATTTTCTTCAGAGAAACAAAGTTTATATCACATATGAGAGTTACCATAAGAGGCAATGACAAAGGAAACAATCAAGCAATCCAGAAAGGAGATTGTAGTCCACCTAATACAACCACCTGTGAAATGCAACTGCCAGGTAGGCAGCTCCTTCCTTTATGATCATCTTCCAGGAAATTACAAATTGCCCCACATCAGACATTATTCAGGTCAAATGCCTATCTATGCATATTATATCTGAGAACTAAAAAGGTTTAATTTATTCCCTTTGTGTCTGTGTCTCCTACAATCCTACATCTAAAGTGAATTCCCCAAGAAACAGGAGTAACTTTTCCCTCAGATCCCCAACCTATCACAACACCTAGCACACTGTATATGTTAATTCATCATTCTTGGATAAATGTAAGAAAAGAGATACAGATGGCCAAATGGATGAAAAAATACAAGACCAAGTGGAGGAACAAATACAAGAAGGAATAAATGAATAATTAAATAGTTCTTTAGCCTATAAATAGCAGTACTACTAATTTCTGCTTGAGCTTCAACAACATTAAAATATCAGTGTTCTTACAAACATATATGCAGGACACAATTGTTCAACAAAAGAACTTGGCTTGCAGCTATACCCTGCACAGTAAAAAAATGTACTCTCTCAGTGTTAATGAATGATTTAACCCAGAGCAGTAAGAACAGGTTAGATTCTTACTAGCAGGAAGCTACTCTGCATTTTGCAACACCACACCACAGACTACAGGTTAAAACAGCCAGGAATATGACAAATATCATACTTACTGGGAGAGAATTAATGCTACTCCCCTAAGATAGAAGGCAAGGTAAGGAAGTCGCCTCTTACCGATTCTACTCAACATGGTAGTAGAGGTTGAGCCACTGCAAGCAGGCAAGGAAGGAAAAAAAAAGGCATTCACACTGGAAAAAAACAAAAAGACATAACATGGCCTATTCACAGAAGACATAGTTCTGTATAGAGAAAATGTTAAGGAATCAATTTTAAACACAATTTGCATGAATAAACAAGAAAAGGAAGGTCACAGGATACAAAATAAAAGATACAAAGATCAATTGTATTTCAACATACAAGCAATGAATAATCTAAAAATGAAATTATTAAAGTAATGCCATTCACAGTAGCATCAAAAATAAAATACTTAGAAATAAATTTAACAAAAGAAATGAAAGACATACGCTTGAAAACCACAAAATATTGCTGAAATAAAGATCTAAATAAATGGAGAGCTATTCCATGTTCACAGACTGGAAGATTCAATATTGTGAAGATGGCCATACTCCCACAATTGATGTACAGGATCAACATGAACTCTAATCAAAACACCAGCAGGTTTACTTTCAGAAATTGACAAGCAGATCCTAAAATGTATACAGAAATGCAAAACACCTAGAATTGCCAAAACGAATTTGAAAAGGAAAAGAATATTGAAAAATTTTCACTTTCAAATTTCAAACTTTCTAATAAAGTTAACAGTAATCACGTCACCATGTTTCTGACATATATTACATTTGATTGCTTCCATTAGAAATTACCACAAATTTAGTAGCTTAACACAATGTATTATCTTACAATTCTGTAGGTCAGAAACTCAACACTGGTCTCACCAGGCTAAAATCAAGGTATTAGTGAGACAGCCACATGGGAGGGGGTCCCTGGAGAAACTCCACCCAGTCTGCCCACTGGGGTACAGCCTCGAGAAGTTCAGGATCTTTCCAGCAGAAAGCAGCCTGGCCCCTCCTTTTCCTGTGTGAAACCTGGGATTCAAACGGCCTGGTGGGAAGCGCTCTATCAGGGACTTGGCCTGGTGAGAATCCTTGTTTCCCCCTTTTTTTTTCTTTTTCACCCAATAAAACCCTGTCTTACTCACCATTCAAATTGTCTGCGAGCCTGAATTTTTGTGGCTGTGGGACAAAGAGCCCCATCTTTAGCTGAACTAAGGAAAAGTCCTGCAACAACAGCAGGGCTACATTTTTTCCTGGAGGCACTATGTAGCATCTGTGTCATTGCTCATTCAGGTGATTAACAGAATTCAGTTCCTGGGCTTGTAGTACTAAGATCCCTGTTTCCTTGCTGACAGTTCTCAGCTACTGGAGGACACATACATTCCTTGGCTAGTGGCCCCCTTCCACCATTTTCAAAGCCAGTAACCACAGGTCAAGCCCCTGTCATGCTCAAATACCTCCTCCTCCTTTCATCTCTCATCTCTGACCTAAAATGGAAAGGTTTTCTGCCTTTAAGGACTTGTGATTAGATTGGGTCCCCCTAGTAATCCAGGATAATCTCTCATCTAAACGTTTATACTTGTTAAGACATCTACAAAGTCCCTTCTGCCACATAAATAACATATTCACAGGTTCCAGGGCTTACGACATGGACGTCTTTGGGGAACTACTTTTCTAATGACCACATGGTATAAAGATAGATACATAAATCAATGGAACAGAATCGAGAGGCCAGAAATAAATTCTTACATTTATAGTCAATTGATTTTTGGCAAAGGTGCCAAGGCAATTATTGGGGAATGTATCCTCTGTTCAAAAAATGGTAGAGACAATAGCACAATTTTAACTTAGACTCTCACCGCATACCATGCACAAAAATGACTCCAAATAGATTCACAGACTTAAATGTAAAAGCTAAAATAATAAACTTTTACAAGAACATACAGTAGAAAAATCTTCGAGATGTGACTCAGGTAAAAAAAAATTTAGATACAACATCAAAAGCATTCTCCAAAACAGAAAAAAATTAGTAAGTTGGACTTTGTTAAAATTCAACTTATAGACTTCAAATGGCACTACTAGAAACATGAAATGACAAGCAACACACTGGGAAAAAGTATTTGCAAAATACATATCTAATAAAGGACTTTTCTCCAGAATTTATGAATAACTCCTACAATTCAATAAGACAAACCTCAATCAAAAAATGGGCAAACTATATGGCCAGATAATTTACCAAAGAATTTAGATGAATGGTCAGTAAGTTCATGAAAAGATATTCAACTGCATTAGTCAGTTAGAAAAGATAAATTAAAACCACAGTGAAATATCACTCTCTACCTACTACAGTAGTTAAAATTAAAGAGACAGAAAACAACAAAAGTTAGTGAGGATATAAAGAAATAGAAACTTTCATGCATTGATAAGGGGACTGTAAAATGGTGTAGCTACTTTGGAAAAAGTTTGGCAGTTTCTCAAAAAGTTAACCATAGAGCTAATATCATCCAATAATTCCAATCCTAGGTATCTATTCAAGAGAAATGAAAACATTTGTTCACAAAGACTTACATGAATATTCACAGCAGTATTATTAATAATAGCCTCAAAGTGCAAACAATCTAAATGTCCACCAACTGGTGAACAGATTATCCACATAATAAAATACTATTCAGCATTACAAAAGAAATAACTCTTGATATATGCCAAGTCATAGAAGAACCTCAAAAACAGTATGCTATGAAGCCAGATACAAAGAGCCACATATCATATGATTCCATTTATATGCAATGTCCAGAAAAGGCAAACTTAGAGACTGAAAGTGAATGAGGGGTTGCCTGGGGCTGGGGGTGAGAATGGCAATTAACATCAAACAGGCATTAGGGATCTTATGGGAGGGTGAAAATGTTCCAAAAGTAATTTATGGTGATGGTTGTGGAACTCAATGAAGTTACTAAAAATCACTGAATTATACACTTGAAATGGGTAAATTAATGATACATAAACTGCATTTCTATAAAGTTGTTTTAAGAATAACTTATTAAAAAAGAAAGCTAGCCAACAAGGACACCTATGAGAATTATCCTGGTAGGAAGCATGTGTTCTTGGGAAATTATTACAATTATGCTATTGCTACTGAACCTAAGAATAAAAAAAGTCCATCTCATTTAGACAGATTTGAAGAAAATGGGTGATATAACATGAATCTAGTGGAATTCTAGTGGATTCTAGGGGCAGCTGTTCTCTGGATTCCTAAAGGACTGAAACAGAGAAACTAGGCACTTATCATCAGGCCATTCTTGTCACGTGAAATATAGGTACCTCCATGCAGGGGCCTTGACTGGGAATCCTCTTTCACTGACAGCTGAGTCCTTTTTATCTTGAATTTCCATGTAACTGCAGCTGAATGAATATATTGGAAAAGATGGGTCTCCTTGCTATTTCCACAGCAGAGTTTCTGTGGACATGACTATTGCCATGAGAATAATAACTAAGAAATACTCCAATCAACAGAGTAGCAAACAGATAACACAGGTCAACACAGTTCTCAAGAAATCCCAGATCAAGACTTGTCTGAAAGACAGGCTCATTGAGTTTGCAGGGATATTGTTCCTTTATAACCTAGCGACTCTCTGAAGAGAGAGACACAGTATGCCATGGTAGGATTTGTATAAAGCAAATCACAGAAGTATTTCATGTGGGCCAGTAAACAATTGGTCCAAGTTTTAACAGGAAAAAAAAAAGGTAGACTTAGGAAATTTTCTTGATTCAGAATTGAACAGAGTTTTCAGAAGTATTTCCCATTCACAAGTGTGTTGAAACATTCTCCTCTTTAAATAGAAAATAGATGAATTGAGATAAATATATTTAAATTTCCAGAGCAATCTTGAAGAGCTGCAACAGTTTAGGGAAATGTCAAGAACACCCTCCGCTTGAGACAACTGCTCTGCTATGTAAGATGGAGATCATCTTAAGGAAATAGAAACCTTCTCGAAGAAACTTACTGAGTGCCACATTTTTCCCAACTGTTGATTTTTGTGAATTTCAGTTGAGAGTTACTCTCACTCTGCCAACTAAATAAAAATATCTCAAACTGGGTTGGAGGCGAAAAGCATGTAAGTTGAGAAGACAGAAAATACTACAGGTTCACCTGATTCAGAGCTTGAACACTTCTAATCCTCACTAAGAATTGATAACCAAATGCTTCAAATAAACTTCACTTGTCAATATCAGTCATTTAATTTTTATTTTATTTTTTTTTACAAAAAGCCCAAAATGGATTAACCACCTGAGTTTAAAGAACTCTACTGATTGATCGACCCAGGTAGATGGTCTAAGGAAAGAATTAAGTCCAACTAGGACACTCAAAAGTGAAGTGCTGGCCAGGTGCAGTGGCTCACACCTGTAATCCCAGCATTTTGGGAGGCTGAGGTGAGCAGATCACTGGCCAACATGGCAAAATCTCATCTCTACTAAAAAGTACAAAAAAATTAGACAAGCATGGTGGCACATGCCAGTACTCCCAGTCGGGAGGCTGAGGCAGGAGAAAAGCTTGAACCCAGGAGTTGGAGGTTGCAGTGAGCTGAGATCCTGCCACTGCACTTCAGCCTTGGTGACAGAGACAGACTGTCTCAAAAAACAAAAAAAAAAGTTAAGTGCTTATACTGAAGTTACAAATAAGATAAAAGGACTTTTAAGGAATATTCTCTACTACAAAATAATTAGGACTCAGAGCAGAGCTTGGTTCATAAGTTTAAGTAGAATCATGAGCTAGAGAGAAAAAAAACGAATTGCACTAAGTAAAAGAAGACATACATGGAAATGACACAGGAGGAGAGCTGATGTAAACATTAAATTTTCACAGCTACTAAATGCTAAATAAAAGACTTTTCATATTATAGAGTTCTTAAAATCTGGTGGCATTTCAACCTGTGGAGACCTAACACATTTTGCTCAGGGCAAAAATCTGGCAGCCAAAAGAATCTCTACCAGAGCCTCTGTCTTCCCTGGATCCTTTTCCTCAAATAAGGGCAGGAATGGCAAGAAAGAAGGCAAGGAACTCTTCAGAGCCTCAGAAAGTGGTATGCAGCCAGGTACACCCCTACTGTAAAGGGGCATCCACACTACCAGCCATCATGCTACATATTTTATATGCACTTTCTCATTCAATTTTACTGAACAATGGAATTATAGTTCCATTTGCCCAAAGACCTAAAGGCCAAGATCAGGAAGGATACCCTCTCAAGATCTTAAGAGCAATAGGAAGAAGAGAAGGTGTCAAATCTGAATTTCAAAAAGCATCATCAGTTGCAGAGTGCTTGGTGAGAGCAGGTGAAGTAAGGGGGGAAGACCAGGGGTTTATTTTGTATCTTCCTTTCTTTCTGGGCTTTTATCTCTGATTTGGTCAACATTTTTAACTCCTAACACTTCAAAATCACATCTACTTTTGGTTAAGATGATTGATTTATAAGTTACACAATGAATAAATAGCATAAACTCAATAATATAAGGAACACAGAGTAATATGTATTATATATTTTATATATATTTCATATATAAAAAATTTTACATATATCATATATAAAAAAATTTTATATATATAAAATTTTATATATATAAAATCATATATATACATATATATGATTTTAAAGCCTATTCTATATCCAAGAGGTAAAGAAATAGTGGCAACTAATCAAGAGTAAGCTGGTGCCTGCTGGAACTAATTTTCCAATAAGTACTTAGACAAAATAATTATGAGAATTTATGTTTTCAAAATGTCTTAGATTGACTTACCTAGAAAGCAAAAGCATGTGAAAAATGTGTATGCCAAATCTTATGTGAGAGTAGAATCTCAGGGAAGCCAGAAAGAGAGGGGACAGGGCAATGAGGCCAGGGAGGAAGGAAAGGAATGCAAAATGGGATGTTGCCTAGGTGACCACGGCTGAACCGGAGATCACAGCTTTCCGGAAGCTTGGTTATGGGAGATGGGTGTCTCTAGAGAGGCCATACGAACCACTGTGTCTGGGAATCATCCCTGAAGGAAGAAGGGTGGAGATGAGGAAGAAAGACAAGGCAAGGAATTTATCTGCAGGCTTTTTCTGACTCCCTTCTCTCACTGGTCAAAGTCAGTCAAACATTAGCGGGAACAGCCTGAGACCCAGAGGGTCTGATGGGACTGAACCTGGGCCTCAGAGGAGAAAAAGGGTTCCCAGGCAGGAGAGCAACACGGAGAGGCCAAGGGAGGTTGGGGTGACCTGGCACCAGTGTTGCCGCTCTCTAAGAAGATCCAGGAACACCTGGCCTGGCATCAATTGGAACACATACAGAATATTTTCTAGGATTTTTTACTGTTTTCCAAAGGCTAAAATTTCTATCTTGCAACCCTAAAATTTCCTCAGAAAGAAAGGAATTAGGAATTTCAGTATGTTATGTGCAATATCAGAATTTATAATTAAAATAAAGCTGAAAATAAAATTATTTCACCCTTAAATAAAAATTTTCCTTCCTCATTAATAGATCATTTTACAATTGAGTTTCCAGTAAGTTAAAGGGCTCATATTCACAATTTATAAATCATGGCAAGATAAGGCAATTACAAGATTAAGAGTAGAAGAATTTAGAATGTCAAGTGGCATTAATTTAAGTAGAAATAAGTTCTCTACACATAATTTAATTAATGCCAAGTGCTCATAGAGCTTTGTTTTTCTGAGATGAAACTCGAAGTTGGATGAGACTAACACAGTAATCATAGGCTAACACCCTGCCCTTCAGAACTACAAGTTTTATTGCCCATCATTTTTTAAAAATCTTATTACTCAGACTACGTGCAATATAAAATCAGGGGTAAAATTCGAACAGATGTTAATAAGCTTACTGCCACTAAATTACAAACCAAGAAACTTGCAGAGGGGTCTCTCTGTCCTGGCTTCTCTTTCTACCTGATTGGAAAGTCTGTTCTAGGAGCACAGTGATATTCCAAGCTGGGCACTAACGTCCTTCAGTGTAGCACCTAAAAGCTTTCAAACAAATCAGGGTGGTGTTAGAAAAAATCAAATTTTTTAAACTTGAACAGGGTAATGGAAAATAAAGTCCACGTCAGATATCAAAGATACTACGATGTTATCCTTTGAAATAAAGTTAGTATGTTTAAAAAAATTAACTTACCTTGTTTATAGGAAAACACATGACATTGAGTTACAAGGTAAAATGGTACCTATTATTCTGAGATACATAAACAGAAAGACACATTATTAAATATTTAAGTCACAGATGTCAGTCAGTACAACTCCACAAGACTTAAAAATCAAGGAGGTGAGTCAACAAAAAGAAAAAAATAAAAATAAATGAGAAACCATCAAATTAGAATATACTGTAGCAAATCTCAATATATTTATGTTTTATGGTTTTATCCATCTTTATTTCTTAATTATGTTACTACTATACAACTATATCCTAATACATTTTTAAAAATCAAACTTCATGGAATAAAGAATACAACGTAAAAATCCCTCCTCTTTTTTTTCTAGCATATTCAGATAAGCAACATAGGAGAAGCCCACACCAGTACCTGTTGCCATGATATATATATTTCATTCATAACACAGACAGATACAGCCATGTTTCGTGGCTGTGTGTATGCACTTACACATTCATATGTAAGTCTGGAAGGTCACACCACAAACTGACAAAAGTGATTACATCTGGGTGGGAAAATTTTACCTGTTCTTCTTCATATTTTATTTTTTGAAAAATTTTTCAATAAGCTTTTTTTGATTAAATTGAGGAAAAGAGTGCTAAAAAGATAAATATAATGAAAGATACATCTTCAAAGTGGCTACCTTTATTCTTTCACCCAACATTTGCTAAGTGCCTCCTCGGGGCACTGGGAGAGATGTATGGAAGCTGGCCAAAGCTGAGTCCAGAAATGAAGCCTGAGACAACAGGCAAACGGCAGAGATTGTCCCTTGATTAACTATTATCTCTACTTCCAGGGTGCGAACGTTACCTATGGGTCATAAAATTTGAAGCTGTTTCATCTTCCAAAATCATTGGTCAGTTTTGAACACAGTTGAGTTGAATATTATAGACCGTCAATCATAATTTCACAAGTGAGTTGTCAGGGAGAAAAAAAAATTCCTATTGCACTTGGAAATGTCAAGTGTAACCCAATAAATGTCAAATTAAATTGAGCTGTTTGTGGGAAATTGTTTAGAGCTGTTTATAATAGGGGGAAAACATGCAATCATCCTAAATGGGTATATGAACAGGAAGCCTGGGAAATACCTTCCGAAAATATGACCACCTGTATCTATTAAGAATTGTGTTTGTGTTCCTGAAATCAAGGATCCTCCCTCTCTGGTACCTTGTAAGGTAAATGGTGCTAACTTCTTCTGAAGAATACTTAATCTTTTAACACTTGGATATCCAGTCACTTTTCTAATAAAGATATTTCTCACACATGTATCTCTGTGTGCTGATGCAAAGGGAGTTACTGCGCATGTCACCAACGCTGGTTAGCACTTTCTTTAGTCATTCCCATGGTGGTCTTTTTCTCAAGAGTAAAGTCCAAAAATGCAGATAAATTAAGAAGGCACAAGATCAAAAGTACGTAGTACCCAGCTATTTGTTAATACTGAAAATAAGACTTGGTAAGCAGATGTGTCACACACATGTCTATGGTCAACATAATGGGGCTGTCTTCTGCCATATTTGTTTGTCAAAAGGACTGGAAGGTCTGTCAATGAGAAGTGACTTTCTCTGGACACTTAATCTTTCTCTAAGAGATTAAACATTCAGTATTTTTTAGAAGAGGAGGGCATGCAATGAAGTGATGGCTGCAATTCTTTGCTTTAATTCAATCAGTATTTACTGAGCACTTTCCTGTTGCAAGTTCTTTGCACCAAAGCTGTGATGGTGAAAAGTGAGCCTTGAACTTTTCAAGCTCAAAATCAAGTTAGGGAGACAGATGAAAAGAAAACAAAGACAAAAGAATGCATGATGTATAAAGTGCAGTGGCAGCATCTCAAAATGACGCCTAACTCGAGTATGGAAAGTCAGAGACACTTCTTGGAGTATTAGGCTAAGGAGATGTGAGCACTAAAGTACCTACGGGAGGAAAGAATAATTATAGAAAGACCCGGTGGTATTTAAGGCAACTTATAGGATTCAGTCAGGTAAGGATGACTTCTAACAATACAGTTAATCACCAGACATGCATTTAATGTGCAGAAATGGTAAATCAGTAAGAGTTGTAAATTAGCTCCCAAAAAGTCAGAGCACTAAATATTAACTTACAATACCCAAATTAAGAAGCCAAATTAGGAACTCTGTTTAGTTCTCAGGTTAAACCAAGCTAGATCCTTTGAAAGTTTTGTACTTAACACTTAATAAGTACCAGAGAAATTTTGCCATGTGCATGGCATATTAATATACCATATTTCTTTAAAAAAAACTTATTTAACATTCAGGGGTACATGTACAGTTTTGTTATACAGGTAAATTTCATGTCTCAGGGGTTTGTTATATAGATTTTTTGTCACCTAGGTAATAAGCATAGTACCTGATAGGTAGTTTTCCAATCTTCACCCTCCTCCTACCCTCCATTTTCAAGTAGGCCTCAGTGTCTGTTGTTCTCTTCTTTGTGTCCATATGTACTCAATGTTTAGCTCCCACTTATAAGTGAGAACATGCAGTATTTGGTTTTCTGTTCCTTAGGATAGTTTGCTTAGGATAACGGCTTCCAGCTCCATGCATGTTGCTACAAGAGACATGTTCTTGCTCTTTTTTATGGTGGCATAGTATTCCATGCTATATATGTACCACATTTTCTTTATCCGGTCTACCAGTGATGGGCACCTAAGTTGATTCCATGTCTTTGCTATAGTGAATAGCGCTACAATGAACATATATGTGCATGTGTCTTCATGGCAGAATGATTTACATTCCTTTGGGTATATACCCAATCATGGGATTGCTGGTTGAAAGGTAGTTCTGTTTTAAGTTCTTTGAGAAATCGCCAAACTGTTTTCCACAAAGGCTGAACTAATCTACATTCCCACCAGCAGTGTATAAGTGTTCCCCTCTCTCCAAAATCTTGCCAGCATCTGCTATTTTTGACTTTTTACTAGTAGCCATTCTGACTGACTACACCACACATCTAAACCATTCATTTTGGTGGAATGACATTCCCCTCCCCCACCAAAAAAAACACCTTTTATTACATCACACGATAATTCTCCCATAAGGCAACTCTCAGTCTATTCATTTTGATGTTTGTTTTCTTCCATCAAACTTCCATCACCTCCCTCCAGTAACTCAACTGTCTCAGGGTAGTGAATGGCAGTTACTTGTATGCAGTGACAAAAGGGAAAATACCTTACACTGTCTTTCTTTTACCACTGAGTCCATGACATACCTCCCTCTCCTCTGATGCCTCAGCCTCCCACTGAGACTCACCAGTGGCCTTGGTATGTTCAATCACCAAGGCTCTGGGATACCACCTCCTGCCACACCATCTCTGGCCATGCCACTTCCAGCAGAGGGCCAAACCTGCTGCAGATGCCTCTGTCATCCATTGCCCTGTCCAAATTCCAACTTGGAAGAGCCACCCTAGGGAGAGCCACCATCCTCCCCGCTTGCCTGCCTCCTCACTGGTCTCCTGCTTCTGCTCTTGGCTCCCTACAGGCCAATTTCGGCTCAGCGAAAGGATCCTTTTAAAATATCATGTCACCTTGAGCTCAAAACCACTGCAGTTTCTCAAAGTCTTAATTTACCATAAGATCTAGCAATTTCACTGCTGGGGATCTACCTGTTTTAGTTTACTTTTGCTGTCGTGGCAGATTATTACAAATGTAAAGGCTTAAAACAATGCTCATTTATTGTCTCACAGTGTTTGCAGGTCAGAAGTCTGGCAGGATGTAACTGGATTTTCTGTTTAGAGTCTCACCAAGCTAAAATCAAGCTACTGGCTGGAACTATGATTCTTATTTGCAGCTTAGAGACTTCTTCCCACCTTACTAGTTAGTGGCAGAATTCAGTTCCTTGCAGCTACAAGACTGAGGTATCCAGTTCCTTGACACAAGGCCCTCATCTTGAAGCCAACAATGGTACATCAAATCCTTCTCAGGCTTCAAATGTCTTTGATTTCTGCTATACCTCTCTAAACTTCTCTTCTGACTTCCTCTACTTCCTCTTGTGCTTTTAAGGGCTTATGTGATCATACTGGGTCCATCTAGTTAATCCAGGATAATCTCCTGATCTTAAGGTCAACTGCATAGTAACCTCAACTACATCTGCAAAGTCCTTTTTGCCATGTAATACCACATATTCAAGGGCACAAAACTAGGGGTAAAAGTCTTGGGGCCAGAATTCTGTCTATCACAGCACCCAAGAGAAATAAAAATACATTCCACATAAAGACTTGGACATAAGTGTTCATAGCAGCATTAATCGTGATAGCCAAAAATTCAAATCAACATAAATATCTACCAATTGGTAAATGGACAAAATGTGCTGTATCTATACAATGGAATACTCTTCGGTAACACAAAGAACAAACTATTAATACATTCAACAATATGAAGTAACCTCAAAAATATGATACTAAGTGAAGGAAGCTCGACACAAGAGACCACATGCTGTAGCATTCCATTTAAAGAAAAGACAAATCTATAGGGACACAATGCAGATTAATGGTTGCTGGGGCTGGCAGGAGTAATGGGATTAACAGTAAAGGGCATAAGGAATCTTATTGGAGGATGAAATGTTTTAAAACTGGACTACAGTGATGGTTATATAACTTGGTAAATTTACTAAACATCATGGAACTAAACTTCTTTCACTTAATATCATGATACCATGTTTTTGAGGTTCATTCATGTTGTTGAATGTATTAATAGTTTGTTCTTTGTGTTGCCAAAGAGTATTCCATTGTGTGGTGTATTAGTCCATATAATTGAATACTCTCTGGTAACTGCTGCTATAAAGAACTGCCTGAGACTGAGTAATTTACAAAGGAAAGAGGTTTAATTAACTCACAGTTCCACATGGCTGGGGAGGCCTCAGGAAACTTACAATCATGGTAGAAGAAGAAGCAAACACATCTTTCTTTACACAGTGGCAGGAAGGGGAAGTGCCGGGCAAAGCAGGAAGAGCCCCTTATAAAACCATCAGATCTCATGCGAACTCACTCACTATCACAAGAACAGCATGAGGGTAACTGCCCCCATGATTAAATTACCTCCCACCGGGTCCCTCCCCAAGACACATGAGGATTATGGGAACTAAAATTCAAGATGAGATTTAGGTAGGGACACAGCCAAACCATATCCTATGGATACAGTACATTTTGTCCATTGAAGGATATACTTGAAATGGGTAAATTTTATGATATACAATACATAACTTAATTAGCTTGTCAGAAAATTAAAAATAAATCAATAAATAAAACCATTGCAAAAGCCAGCACCCCTCTAGTTGCATACAGAGCCCTACAGGTTATTCTCCATGCTCCAATTTCACCTCATGTCCCACAGCTTGCTTGCTCTCTTTCTCTAATCACCTGATACCTCCAGGAACATTCCTGCCTCAGGAACTTTCCAATTGATCCCACCAATCCAGTCCTTCGAATTAGGTTAAAGTTGCTTTGGCTCCAACTCTCTCTTAAATTAGTTGTGAAAACACATGGTCTTGACCATGGAAAGAACATGAAGCGGACACTCAGTGCTCCTCTCTGCTCCCTTTGTGCTCCAATGGGATAAGGGAACATATAATGAAAAATGATGGCACTGTAAATACTGGTACAAGTTAAGTATTATGATGCTTAGAGAGCAGGCAAAGGACATTCTTCAGAACACGGATATTCCATCATCTGTCTCCAGCTGCCACTGGATGCCAATAAGCCACTAGAATGTAAGAGCTGACTACACCAGGAATGTACATATCACCATCATGCTGATGCTTCTCCCAGCTACCACTCATGTTCCCTTGTCCACCAAGAGTACTGCTTTAGGCTGGGCGCAGTGGCTCATATCTGTAATCCCAGAACTTTGGGAGGCTGAGGCGGGCAGATCACTTGAGGTCAGAAG